>NC_000022.11:36436836-36588351 GCF_000001405.40 Homo sapiens
TTCTTACCTGAAAACATGGCACAGATGTACTGATAAGGGTTAATAATCCCAGTGGAAAGAGTTTGAGCCTTGGCGTCAAATATATCTGGGTTAAAATTCCAGCACTACCACTTCCTGGTTGGGGGACCTCAGCAAACAATAAAATGATTTACCCGTCTGCCTCTCAGTGTCCAGCTCAGGAGAATAGGTCTGATCTTTTTTTTTTTTTTTTTTTTTTGAGACAGAGTCTCGCTCTGTTGCCCAGGCTGGAGTACAGTGGCGCAATCTCGGCTCACTGCAACCTCCATCTCCCGAGTTCAAGTGATTCTCCTGCCTCAGCTTCATGAGTAGCTGGTACTACAGGCATGCGCCACCACGCCCAGCTAATTTTTGTATTTATTTATTTATTTTTTTAGTAGAGACGAGGTTTCAGCATGTTGGCCAGGCTGTTCTCGTACTCCTGACCTCAAGTGATCCACCCGCCTCAGCTTCCCAAAGTGCTGGGATTACAGGCGTGAGCCACTGTGCCCTGCCTGATCTTTTTATTTATTTATTTTTTTCCCAAGACGGAGTCTTGCTCTGTCACCCAGGCTGGAGTACAGTGGCTTGATCTTGGCTCACTGCAACCTCCACCTCCCGAGTTCAAGCGATTCTCCTGGCCCATCCTCCTGAGTAGCTGGGATTACAGGCACGTGCCTCCACGCCCAGCTAATGTTTGTATTTTTAGTAGAGATGGGGTTCCACTATGTTGGCCAGGCTGTCTCGAACTCCTGACCTCAGGTGATCCACCCACCTCGGCCTCCCAAAGTGCTGGGACTACAGGTGTGAGCCACTGCGCCTGGCCACTCTATGGGCTTTTCATTTCTTTCTTTCTTTCTTTTTTTTTTTTTTTGAGACAAGGTCTCACTCTGTCACCCAGGCTAGACTGCAGTGGTACAATCACAGCTCACTGTAGCCTTGACCTTCCAGGCTTGAGCCATCCTCCCACCTCAGCCTCCCAAGTAGCTGGGACCTCAGGCTCATGCCACCATGCCCAGCTAGTTTTGATTTATTTTTTGTAGAGATGAGGTCTCACTTTGTTACCTAGGCTGATCTCGAACTCCTGGACACAAGCATCTTCCTGCCTCGGCCATCCAAAGTGCTGGGATTACAGGTGTGAGCCACAGTGCCTGGCTTCTTTTTCTTTTTGTTTCTTTTCTTTTTTTTTTAAGAGTCAGGGTCTCAAGCCGGGAGCGGTGTAATCCCAGCACTTTGGGAGGCTGAAGTGGGTGGATCACTTGAGGTCAGGAGTTCGAGACCAGCCTGGTCAACATGGTGAAACTCCATCTCTACTAAAAACGCAAAAATTAGCCAGGTGTGGTGGTACATGCCTGTAATCCCAGCTACCAGGAGGCTGAGGCAGGAGAATTGCTTGAACCTGGGAGGCAGAGGTTGCAGTGAGCTGAGACTGAGCCACTGCACTCCAGCCTGGGCGATAGGGCGAGGCTCCGTCTTAAGAAAAAAAAAAAAAAGTCAGGGTCTCACTCTGTCACCCAGGCTAGAGTGCAGTGGCATGATCATACCTCATTGCATCCTCCAATTCCTGGGTTCAAGCGATCCTCCCACTTCACCCTCCCAAATTGCTGAGATTACTAGTGTGAACCACCACACCTGGATAATTTAAAAAAATTTTTTTGTAGAGATGGGAATCTCACTATATTGCCCGGCCTGGTCTCGAACTCCTGGTCTCAAGGGATCCTCCCACCTCCCAAAGTACAAAGATTACAAGCATGAGCCACCACACCCAGCTAATTTCTTATTTCAGTAAATGGGGCCTGGAGGTGGAAATTCAGCACTGGACACAAACCCTGGAGCCTCTAGAGCCTAATTCAGAATACAGTCAGAGAATGGACACCCACCAAGTCCAGGCACCTGGTTCCTGAAGCCCCCAGTGATTTAAAATAAGGAGCTCCCATATAAGGTAACAAGGGTGGTCAGATTTAACAAATACAAATACGGAACAGCTGGCTTGAATTTCAGATAAATAAATAACTTTCTAGCATAAGTATGTCCCAAATATTGCATGGGACAAACTTACACTAAAAAGTTCTTTTTCTGTATTGGAAATGCAAATAATTCAAATTTAAGTAGGCATCTTGTATTTTATCGGGCAACCCTAAACACAGTGAAAGAAAAAAATGAGAAAGTTCTGTATGTGCTGATATGAAATGCTGTCTGTTTGGGCTGTGGTAACAAAATACCTTAGACATGGGTAATTTATAGATGATAGAAATTTATTAGCCAGGTGCCGTGTCTCACACCTGTAATCGTAGCACTTTGGGAGGCCGAGGCAGGTGGATCACCTGAGGTCAGGAGTTTGAGACCCACCTGGCCAACATGGTGAAACCCTGCCTCTACTAAAAACACAAATAAAAAAATTAGCCAGGCCTGGTGGCATGCGTCTGTAATCCCAGCTACTCGGGAGACTGAAGTGGGAGAATCGCTTGAACCCGGGAGGCGGAGGTTGCAGTGAGCGGAGATTGTGCCATTACACTACAGCCTGGGCAACAAGAGCGAAACTCCGTCTTAAAAAAAAAAAATGGCCTGGTGTGGTGGCTCACGCCTGTAATCCCAGCACTTTGGGAGGCCAAGGCAGGCAGATCACGAGGTCAAGCGATTGAAACCATCCTGGCCAACATGGTGAAATCCCGTCTCTACTAAAAATACTGGGCATGGTGGCGTGTGCCTGTAATCTCAGCTACTAGGGAGGCTGAGGCAAGACCATCGCTTGAACCAGGGAGTTGGAGGTTGCAAAGCGATACTCTGTCTCAAAAAAAAAGAAGAGTATAGGAAGTATGTTAAGTATAAGCAACTGGAAACATGGGCTGCTTCTTGGAAGAGGACCTAGGTGGCAGGAACAAGACAGGGTAGAAGACTTTGTCTTACTGTGCCCGCTTTGTACCTTTTGAATTTTGTACCATGTAACTATTTCATGCAGGCAAAAAAATGAATAACATAATTAGGCTCTTTTGTCCTGACCCCACTCCCTGAATCCTTAACCTCCTGCATTTTAGAAATACTCCAGAGCTTGTCTTATTCTTACCAAAATTCCTGTAGGCCTTTGACTCCTGACTCACCCTGTCTGCAGTGTCCCCCAGCCTGCAGGGGTGGGTGAGTCACAGCAACCCTCAGCCACCAGCTGTTTTCCATCTGCCGGCCTTCCTGGGGGAGAGTCCCTTCCAGCTGTAGCCCCTGTCTATGGGAAAAGTCTCATGTCCTTTTCATCTCTCCCCACTGCACACTGTCTCTCACCCTAGACTATAATTCAAGTGAATTTGACCTCCATTTATTGGACAAGCCAGGCACTGTGCTAGGAATAATGAAAACCATTAGACAAATCTGAAAGGGAGGGATCACTAGACTAAGGGGTAGAAATGTGGAGATGGGAGTAACTTTCTGCATGTCTTTGCAGGAGGTGGCATGTGAGAAGGCTTCTTGGAAGAGGTGGCACCTGAGCTGTGGAGGGAACAGCACTCCAAAGGGTAGTCTAGAGGGACCAGCGTGAGCAAGAGCCTAGAGTAAAAAAGATGAGGTTGGGGCTGGGTGCGGTGGCTCACGCCTGTAATCCCAGCACTTTGGGAGTCTGAGGTGGGTGGATCACTTGAGGTCAGGAGTTCAAGACCAGTCTGGCCAAAATGGTGAAACCCTCATATCTACTAAAAATACAAAATTAGCCAGGTGTGGTTGTGCATGCCTGTGATCCCCGCTACTAGGAGAGTACGCTGAGGCAGGAGAATCGCCTGAACCCAGGAGGCGGAGTTTGCAGTGAGCCAAGATCACGCCACTGTACTCCAACCTGGGTGACACAGTGAAACTCCGTCTCAAAAAAAAACAAAAAACAAAAAACAAACAAAAAAAAAAAACACAAAGATTAGGTTGGAAAGGTGACTGAGGCCAGATTCATAGGGCTTGATGACTGATAGTGTGAATCTGGTGGTGGCTGAGGAGAAGGTTGAACAGAGCGGCATGTTCTAGAAAGCTTGCTCTGTCATCTCCTTGACGTTTCTCTCTTTTCTAAAAAATTTTTTAAGCCAGTTAAGGTTAGCAGTGGAGGTGTACAACTTTAGTGACACAAATGTGAATAAGTTCTGATAACTGACTGCCATTGGGCCAGCCTTCCTTGAAGTTTCTCTTGCTGGGCCTGTGGTGTTCACTCAGTGGAGACAGTGTTTGTCTGAGAGTTGTAAGAAAAGCATTCTCCTGAGCAAAGCTAGGGTTTTTGGGAAGTTATCAGCAAGTCTTTATTGAGCACCGTGATGTGTACAGCTCAGCATAAAGCACGGGGCAGAGAAGGCAGGAAAAGCAAACACAGACACAGGGGCTTGCCCTCGAAGAAATTACAGTCACGGGGAGGAAAACAGCACATCTTTTTTTGTTTGTTTTTGAGATGGAGTCTCGCTCTGTTGCCCAGGCTGGAGTGTAGTGGAGTGATCTTGGCTCACTGCAACTTCCACCTCCCGGGTTCAAGCGATTCTCCTGCCTCAGCCTCCTGAGTAGCTGGGATTATAGGCACCCGCCACCACGCCCAGCTAATTTTTGTATTTTCAGTAGAGACAGGGTTTCACCATGTTGGCCAGGCTGGTCTTGAACTCCTGACCTCAAGTGACCTGCCTGCCTCGGCCTCCCAAAGTGCTGGGATTACAGGCGTGAGCCACCGGGCCCAACCTAGCTCAGTGCTCTCTACACAGAGCCCACTGCCTCCCACAGGGCTGGGAGCTCAGGGCTGGCATCAGGGAGGGCTTCTAGAAGCAGGGCCTTGCCAGGCACTGGACCCCAGGCAGTCCCATGCGGGTGGCACAGATGGGTGCTGCTCCAGGAAGGACACAGGCTTTCCCCTGGACCTCCCTACTCTGTAACCTAGGTGACTCTGTTCTGGTTGGGCTTGGCTCTCAGCAGCCAGTCAAGGTGATCTGGGAAGAAGACCACAATTTCCATATAATTCTTGCAATCGAGGCTGGTTCGGTAGCTCACGCCTGTAATCCCAGCACTTTGGGAGGCCAAGGCAGGCAGATCACCTGAGGCCAGGAGTTGGAGGCCAGCTTGGCCAACATGGCAAAACCCTATCTCTTTCCAATAAATACAGAAATAAAAATTAGCCAGACATGGTGGCACACACCTGTAGTCCCAGCTACTCAGAAGGATGAGGCATGAGACTCCCTTGAACCCAGGAGGCAGAGGTTGCAGTGAGATGAGATTGTGCCATTGCACTCCAGCCTGGGTGACAGAGCGAGACTGTTTCCAAAAAAAAAAAAAAAAAAAAAGCAACCGGGCATGGTGGCTGAGGCGGGAAGATCACCTGAGGTCGGGAGTTTGAGACCAGCCTGACCAACATGAAGAAACCCCATCTCTATTAAAAATACAAAAAATTAGCTGGGCGTGGTGGCTCACGTCTGTAATCCCAACACTTTGGGAGACTGAGGTGGGTGGATCACCTGAGGTTGGATGTTCAAGACCAGCCTGGTCAACATGGTGAAATCCCATCTCTACTAAATATACAAAATTAGCTGGGCGTGGTGGCGCACGCCTGTAATCCCAGCTACTCGGGAGGCTGAGGCAGGAGAATCGCTTGAACCTGGGAGGCAGAGGTTGCACTGAGCCGAGATCGCACCACTGCACTCCAGCCTGGGTGACAGAGTGAGACTCTGTTTCCAAATAAATAAATAAATAAGTGGAGAGGTAACCCTGAAGGCGTAATCAGCCATTGATACTTCAGTGTAAATTAGTTATCAGAACCTGAGTCTGCCAGCTGAATGCTGGGCCCTGCCCAGAATGACACAGGACAGGTGAGGAGGGAGCGGTCCGAGGGCTTTGGCTGTGCCCTGGGAGTGGCTGGGTGGAACTTCTTCGGTTGCATCTGGCCCTGGGCCCCGTGTCAAGGTGGCACCGAGAAGGGAGGTGCCCACGGTGGAAGCTTATGGTGATGTGGAAAGTGCACCAGGCCCAGGCTCGCCACCCACTACCTACGTGGCCTTAGGCAAGCCGCTTACCTCCCTGAGCCTTAGCAACCTCATCTGGGAAATGGGGATAATGCCACTGTATCTACGTTGCAGGTGGGGTGGGCGTGCTTCAGAGGTTGCTCCAGGGAGCTTTAGAATCCCCTGGGTGACTCCTTTAAACCCAGCTCACTGGGCCCCACCCTCAGTTCCTGCTTCAGTCTGCAGAGGGGCTGAGAATGTGTATTTCCAACAGGTTCCCTAACAAGCTCCCAGGGGGTTCTGATAAGAGGATCTCTACAAAAAGCTAGGAGATGGGGAGGGAGGGTTGCAGAACACAACCTGGAAAGGACTAAATGCAAACTTCACACTCTCATCACTACAGCTAGACACAGGGTGCCCAGAAGGGGACGAGATGACATGGCATACAGGGCGGATCAGGGCTCTGAGCTCTCTCCAACAACTGCTCCCATTAATGCTGAAGTATCCCATAAAATGCAAGATGTCAAATCATTTTCTCTCCCTCCCTCCGTCCCTCCCTCCCAAAGTTCTCCTTCCTCCCTCCCTCCTTCCTTCCCTCCCTTCCTCCCTCCCTCCTTCCTTCCCTCCCTTCCTCCCTCCCTCCCTTCACTCCTTCCCTCCTTCCCTCCTTCCCTCCTTCCTTCCTTCCTTCTTTCAAGACAGGGTCTTGCTCTGTCACCCAAACTGGAGTGCGATGGTGTGATCACGGCTCACTGCAGCCTTGAAAGTTGCACTTCCCACCTCAGCCCTGCAAGCAGCTGCAACCACAGGCATGCCCAACCATGCCTGGCTTTTTTTTTTTTTTTTTTTTTTTTGGAGAGATCGGGTCTCATTATATTGCCCAGGCTGGTCTCAAACTCCTGCGCTCAAGAGCTCCTCCTGCCTCGGCCTCCCAAAGTGCTAGGATTTGTCAAGTCATTTTCTTATGCCAGCACTCTGCTAAATGCTAAATGCTTCACATGAATCACGGTACATCAACTTCCCCCCCACCAAGTCCATGAAGAAGGTTATCAATATCCCCATTTGACAGGTAAGGAACCTGTGGTGCATGGAATAATGGCCCCCAAAGATGTCTACAGTCCAATCCCCAGAACCTGTGAATATTACCTTACATGGCAAAAGGAACTTTGCTGAGAGGATTTTGTTAAGAATCTTGAGATAAAGAGAGTATCCTGGATTATCTAGGAAGAGGTGATATAATTTCGAAGACCCTAGAAAGGGGAAAGCAGAAGGCCAGCAAGTCAGGAGGTATGAGGATGGAAGCAAAGGTTTCAAAGATGGAGGATGGGGACACCAGTCAAGAAATGTGGGCAGCCTCAGCTGGGCGGGGTGGCTCACACCTGTAATCCCAACACTTTGGAAGGCCAAGGCGGGCGGATCACCTGAGGTTGGGAGTTTGAGACCAGCCTGACCAACGTGGTGAAACCTTGTCTCTACTTAAAATACAAAAATTAGCCGGGCGTGGTGGTATGCACCTGTAATCCCAGATATTCGGCAGGCTGAGGCAGGAGAATCGCTTGAACCTGGGAGGTGGAGGTTGCAGTGAGCCGAGATTACGCCACTGCACTCCAGCCTGGGGGACAAGAGCGAGACTTTGTCTCAAAAAAAAAAAAAAAAATGTGGGCAGCCTCTAGATTATGCTGGAAAAGACAGGGAAACAGATCCTCACCTGGAGCCTCTATAAAGAACATCACCCTGGCCTGGTGCAGTGGCTCATGCCTGTAATCCCAGCACTTTGGGAGGCCGAGGTGGGTGGATCACCTGAGGTCAGGAGTTCGAGACCAGCCTGACCAACGTGGAGAAACCCCGTCTCTACTAAAAATGCAAAATTAGCTCGGCGTGGTGGCGCATGCCTGTAATTCCAGCTACTCAGGAGGCTGAGGCAGGATAATCGCTTGAACCTGGGAGGCGGAGGTTGCGGTGAGCCAAGATCCCACCACTGCACTCCAGCCCGGGGGACAAAAGCGAAACAACAACAAAAAAGGAACATCACCCTGCTGACGTCTTGATTTCAGGCCTGTAAGATTCATTTTGGGCCAGGCGTGGTGGCTTATGCCTATAATTTCAGCACTTTGGGAGGCTGAGGCACTAGAATCCCTTGAACCCGGGAGGTGGAGGTTGCAGTGAGCCAAGATCGTGCCACTGCACTCCAGCCTGGGCGACAGAGTGAGACTCTGTCTCAAAAAAAAGGAAAATTAAAAAATAAAACTAAATTAAAAATTTTTTAAAGATTCATTTTGGACTTTTAATCTCTGGAATTGTAAGCTAATGGATTTGTTTTATTTTAAGCCACTACGTTTGCAGTAATTTGTTACAGTGACTATACAAAATTCATCCTAAACCTGAGACTCAGAAACGCAAATGCGGTCTTTCTGTCTGCAGAAATGGGGCTCAGACTCAACCACAAGTTGACTCAACAGCTGACCAGGGTCAGGAGTTGAAAGTACCAACAATGCCAAATTTCTTTTCCCGGGGATGAGTGTTGGGGAATTCTGCTGTTTTTAAATGTCAGAATTGTTATGGGAAAGAGGAATGGTTTGGGTCAGGCAGAGCAAAGAGTTTCCATATTTTGGACCAACTCCAATTGATGAGAACTGGCTGTGCAGAGCTTTGTGAAGCGGAAGCAAAGTCTTGAGGCTGAGCCCAGGCTCCCGGGGAAAGGGTGCTGGGATCGACTGGCAATGTCTGCTCTGGGTGTTCCATGGGAGAGGAGCTGTGTCTGCTGTTCTGGATTAGATGCGTTTCCCCTGCGCTGGCACTGGGTCTGACTCTTCTTCCCTGGGCTTATTAGTATGCCTGAAACAGAGCAAACAATTTGTGAGGGAGGGAGGAAAGAGGAAGGAAGGGAGGAGGAACACAATGAAAGAGAAGTTTGTATTCACGGAGGCCAGGACCAGAACAGACAGGTGGCCTTCTGGGGTGGGGAGCTTCTGATTGGCCTTCCCAGCATCTTTCACCTCCCTCTTCTGGTCATAGCAACCCCTGTCTTTGGGGATCATCTTAATCTATTCAGGATGCTTATAAACAACAGAAATTTACTTCTCACAATTCACAGTTCTGGCGGCTGGAAGTCCAAAGTCAAGGTGCTGGCAGATTCGGGGTCTTATAGATGGCACTTTCCTCACTGTGTCCTCACATAGCACAAGAGGCAAGAGAGCTCTCTTGGGTCTCTTTTATTTTTCTTATTTTATTTGTATTTATTTTAGTTTATTTTATTTTTTATTTAAATAGAGATGGGGTCTCTCCATGTTGCCCAGGCTGGTCTCAAATTCCTGAACTCAAGCGATGCCCCCCACCTTGGCCTCCCAAAGTGCTTGGATTACAGGGGTGAGTCACCGCACCCAGCCAATTTCTTTTACATGCCTGTTTGTGCATTGAGTGTCTTTTATTTTTATTTATTTGTTTATTTATTTTTGAGACAGTCTTACTCTGTCACCCAGGCTGGAGTGCAGTGGCACGATTTCTGCTCACTACAACCTTGGCCTCCTGGGTTTAAGTGATTCTCCTGCCTCAGCCTCCTGAGTAGCTGGGACTACAGGTGTGTGCCACCATGTCTGGCTAATTTTTGTATTTTTGCAAAGACGGGGTCTCACTATGTTGCCCAGGCTGGTCCCAAACTCCTGGGCTCAAGGGATCTGTCCACCTCAGCCTCCCAAAGTGCTGGGATTACAGGCGTGAGCCACGGTGCCCAGCCTGAGTCTTTTTTATGAGGGCAGTAATCCGGCCGGGTGCCGTGGCTCACGCCTGTAATCCCAGCACTTTGGGAGGCTGAGGTGGGCAGATCAACTGAAGTCAGGAGTTTGAGAGCAGCCTGGCCAACATGGTGAAACACCATATCTACTAAAAACACAAAAATTAGCTGGGCATGGTGGTTGGCACCTGTAATCCCAGCTACTCAGGAGGCTGAGGCAGGAGAACCGCTTGAACCCAGGAGGCAGAGATTGCAGTGAGCCAAGATTGTGCCATTGCACTCCAGCCTGGGCATCTAGAGCGAAACTCCATCTCAAAAAAAATAAACAAATAAAATAAGGGCACTAATCCCACTCATGAGAGCTCCACCCTCATGACCTAATCACAACACAAGGCCCCACTTCCTAACACCATCACCTTGGGGGTTAGGATTTCAATCTATGAACTTGGTGGGTAGTGAGCACAAACTCTGTTCGTGGCAAGGATCTGCCCCTCCCCCATCCATCTGGTGATGGTGAAACTGCCAAACACAGGGTACTGTCCCCTCTTCTCAGAGGCAGGCCTGTGACCCGAGCTAGGCAACCCGGCTCTCTTTCCCAGAAATCGTCCCTTTTTTTTTTTTTTTTTTTTTTTGGAGATAGGGTCTCGCTCTGTCACCCAGGCTGGAGTGCAGTGGTGCAATCACGGCTCACTGCAACCTCTAACCTCTGCCTTCTGGGCTTCAAGTGATCCTCCCACCTCAGCCTCCTGAGTAGCTGAGACTACAGGTGCACACCACCACGACCAGCCAATCTCTAACAATTTTTTTGTAGAGATGGGGATCTCAGCTGGATGTAGTGGCTCATGCCTGTAATCCCAGCACTTTGGGAGGCCGAGGCTGGTGGATCACTTGAGGTCAGGAGTTTGAGACCAGCCTGGCCAACATGGTAAAACCCCATCTCTACTAAAAATACAAAAATTAGCCAAGCATTGTGGTGAGTGCCTATAATCCCAGCTACTCGGGAAGCTAAGGCAGGAGAATCACTTGAACCTGGGAGGCAGAGGTTGCAGTGAGCCAAGATCATGCCACTGCACTCCAGCCTGGGCACCAGGGAGAGACTCCATCTCAAAAAAAAGAGAGACGGGGATCTCACTTTGTTGCCCGGGCTGGTCTTGAACTGCTGCATTCAAGCGATCCTCCTGCCTCAGCCTCCTGAAGTGCTGGGATCACAGGTGTGAGACACCACACCCAGCCAGAAATTGAACCTTGGTGAGAGACACTGAGTGGGGAAGGGCAGAGACTGGGAGTTAGGAGTTACAGCATCTGAAGGCCACATCCTGGAGAGATGGCCACAGACTCAGCCAGTGAAGAGGAAGTGCTGGGGCTGGGGCCAGAACCCTGTCTGTGTGACCCCTGAGACTGAGCTCAGACACCCCTAACCCTGAAGGCACCTCTCTTTCAGGACCAACAGCCAAAGGCACAGAAGCCACTGGCCTGGGAGGGACTGTCCCTGGGAATGACCCTGCTCTCTGAGGGCTGGGCATCTGGACTCCCTCTGCTCCAGCTCCTCTGTGGTTGTATTCCTCCATTTCTATTCTAATTAGTCAGTTTCCATGGCTGGATACCATAAAATCTCAGTAGAAGGAAGAACAGGCCAACCATCAGAGCTGTTCAATTTCAGAAAATCTCTTTTTGTTGCTGGGGACAGAGTCTCACTATGTCACCCAGGCTGGAGTGCAGTGGCGCGATCTCAGCTCACTGAAACCTCTGCCTCCCGGGTTCAAGTGATTCTCCTGCCTCAGCCTCCTGAGTAGCTGGGATTGCAGGTGCATGCCACCTTGCCTGGCTAATTTTTGTATTTTTAGTAGAGATGGGGTTTCACCATGTTGGCCAGGCTGGTCTCAAACTCCTAACCTCAGGTGATCCACCCACCTCAGTCTCCCAAAGTGTTTGGATTACAGGCGTCGGCCACCGCGCCTGGCCCAGAAAATCTCTTTAGTCGGGACTTGAGAAAGGGACTGGGTTCCATCTGGTGGGAATGGGAGGGAGGTTCAGTGTCTGCTGCCAGTGAGACCTGGGTTTGTTCCCTCCCCACTGGCTGTGTGATGGAGGCAAGACCCTTCATTCTTTGAGCCTCAGTGTCCTGTCTGTGAAACAGGCAATGAGCACATTTATCTCACAGGGTCCCGGTGAGGCACATTGGGATAACATAGGTGAAGCCCTTAACACAGTTCTGGGCAAAGCAATGTGACTTCTCTCCTCCCCAGCGGCACTTGCACCACGTGGGGAGAAACTAGGTTAATACATCCCTGCCACACATAACTACCAAGTGCCTGCTGTGTGCTGGCCACAACACTAAGAGCCTTACATGTGGTCCTTCATTTAATTTTCAAAGTGATGACGATGATTCTCAGTGCACAGATGGAGACTCTGAGCCCAGAGAGGCTAAATAAACTGCTCTCAAGGACACCAGCACTTTCTGCAAAGAGCCCCAGATCCTAACTAGGACTTACGTTGCCTGCGCTGGGAAGAGACCCAAATGCCTCCCGGCTGTAGGAGTCCCTGATTGCAGACGTAGGGTCTCAGTCCCCGCCCCAAGAAGCTGTAGGTCCAGTTGAAGAAGAGACACACACAAGGAAAAGGAAATTGAACTGAGAAGGCAAAGCGTGACTGTGGGGCCTCTGCTATATCCAGGGTCTCCAGAGAAAGGACTAGAAGCCACTATTCCAATTCTGAGGCCTCAGGGAAGCAGCAAGTTCCTGTGAGGAAACAGGATCCCACAGGTTTCATCCTCCTCCTGTCACTCTTCTAGGTGGGGAGGGAGGGCTCCCCCACGTCCCACATAAGCACACAGAAAGGAGAGGCCAGGGCAGCACAGGCTCAGAACCTGAAGGACTTGGGGACATCGCCAGCCCCATATCCTTGTTTTATACACCAGGTAGGGCAGGAACTATGGCAGGTCCACAGAAAGGGGCCGGCAGAAGCACAGCCACGACGCAGGCCCCCTGGGCTGTCCAGTTTCTCCCGGACAGAACATTTCCCTTCCCTAGCAGCCCCCAACGTGGAGCACTGGATTTGGAGTCAGGAGACCTGTGTCTTCTGCAATCACTCTGAGACCAACTCCTGTGTAATCGTGAGTGAGCGCCTTCCCATCTCTGGGCCTCAGCTTCCACCTCTCTAAAATGAGGGGGTTGGATTCCATCCAATGTTATAAGAGCCAAAGGTTATGAGTTGGTAGCGCCCCCACCATTCCGGGTTTCTCCAATCTCTCCAGGGGCCTCAGAGACCCCAGACAGAAGAGGAACTTGGACAGAGGCTTGGGTGGGGGTGGAGGTGGGGATTCTGAGCCGTGGATCCACCCTCTGCTGAGTGCCAGGCCTACAGGCAGGCAGGCAGAGCAGGCAAGAGCCGTCCCCTACACAAAGGGAATTGGCCCCTCATGGTGGGACAGAGGCCAGAACCCAGCTGGGCCCTCAACCACCCTTCTTTCCTCCACAACCCCCTCCCAGGGATGGTGGCATCCGAAGCCAGCCTGGCAAGGGAACTGGTTGCCACGTGGGGACTTCCCGGAGCTGGGGGTGATGGGAAACAGGGTGACGGGAAACGTCCTGAGGTTGCTTCCTCCCCTTTTGTTTGGATCTCAGACTGACCTGGGAACCAACTGGGCAGCCATGGGGTATTCTGATGGTGGGGAGTTGGAGGGGGAGAAGGGACCTGCCCCATCCCCTCAGGCTGCTTTGCAAGTTAAAATAGCTGTGAAGATCTATCTCCCAGAATTCTAAAAGCTAAAATACCTTTTGAACCACCACCAGACCATTATGCCTGGAGTGGAAGGATGCTTAGAGGAATCCCTTCTTTTTTTTGAGATGAAGTCTCGCTCCATCACCCAGGCTGGAGTGCAGTGGCGCTATCTCGGCTCACTGCAACCTCCACTTCCCAGGGTTCAAGCAATTCTCCTGCTTTAGCCTCTCGATTAGCTGGGATTACAGGCGTGCACCACCACGCCCGGCTAATTTTTCTATTTTTTAGAAGAGACGAGGGTTCACCATGTTGGCCAGGCTGGTCTCGAACTCATGAACTCAAATGATCCACCCGCCTCGGCCTCCCAACACGCTGGGATTACAGGCGTGAGCCACTGTGCCCATCTCGAATCCCTTTTTAAAACTTCAGGTATGGCTGGGTGCGGCGGCTCATGTCTGTAATCCCAGCACTATGGGAGGCTGAGTCGTGAAGATCATTTGAGCCCAGGAGTTCAAGACCAGCCTGGGCAACATAGGAGAACTCGTCTCTATTCAAAAAAATACCAAAAACCAAAAACCAAAAAATTGTAAGTCATGACCCACTGGTGGATCTTGAAATTAATTAAGTCGGTACTCTGAGTAAATCAGAATTTTTTTTTGAGATGGAGTCTCACTCTGTCACCCAGGCTGGAGTGCAGTGGTGTGATCTTGGCTCACTGCAACCTCCACCTCCTGGGATCAAGCAATTCTCCTGCCTCAGCCTCCCAAGTAACTGTGACTACAGGTGTACTCCGCCATGCCTGGCTAATATTTTGTATTTTAGTACAGACGGGGTTTCACCATGTTGCCCAGGCTGGTCTTGAACTCCTGAGCTCTGGCAATCTGCCCACTTCGGCCTCCCAAACTGCTGGGATTATAGGCGTGAGCCACCGTGCCTGGCCGCAAATAAGGATTTAATAATGACGATGATAAAATAGAAGGGAAAATCTCAGAGCACATCCTGGGTAGTAATAGCAAACTGTCTTGGCTGTGTGGTGGCTCATGCCTCTAATCCCAGCATTTTAGGAGGCCAAGGCAGGAGGACTGCTTGAGGCTAGGAGTTAAAATCAGCCTAGGCAACACAGTGAGGCCCCATTCCTACAAAAAAAAAAAAAAAAAGAAAGAAAGAAAAAATTAGCCGGGTATGGTGGTGTGTGCCTATAGTCCTAGCTACTCCAGAGGCTGAGGCGGGAGGATTGCTTGCGCCCAGGAGTTCAAGGCTGCAGTGAGCCATGATCGTGCCATGGTACGGCAGCCTGGGTGACAGAGCAAGGCCCCAACTCTGAAAAACAAAATAAATACAATAAAATAAAATGGTCAAAATGGCCTGGTGCAGTGGCTGGTGCCTGCAACCAGAGCTACTTGAGAGGCTGAGGCAGGAGAATCACTGGAGCCCAGGAGGTTGAGGCACCACTGAACTCCAGCCTGGGTGAGAGTGAGATCCTGTCTCTTTAAAAAAGAAAAAACAAAAAAAGCAAACTGTCTCATGAAACTCTTGTTTCCATGTTGCACGCTCTGCCAGGTTGTGATGTAATGTATTTCTTACTCTGGGTCACAGTCACAAAACCTTGAAATGTCACTCACTGTCTTGGCTCATGCGTCGTAAGCCTTTGTTCCCCAACAGGGGGAAGTGAACCAGCACACAAGGCCCTTCCGTCCTGCGGAGCTCACTGCCTTCCTCAGCTCCTGGCCCGCACTTCCGACCACACACTGGGGACACACCCTCGGGGGGGCCCCACCCCAGCAGCTGCCCATGTTCACACCTCTTCAGTTATTTCAAACTCCGCCTCTCTCGGCCTGATGCCCAACACTTCCTTCACCCAAGGAGGTCCTGTTCAAATATCACTTCTGGCCAGGCGCGGTGGCTCAGGTCTATAATCCCAGCACTTCGGGAGGCCCCGAGGCAGGCAGATCACCTGAGGTCAGGAGTTTGAGACCAGCCTGGCCAACAGGTGAAACCCCGTCTCTACTAAAAATACAAAAATTAGCCAGGTGTGGTGGCACGTGCCTGTAGTCCCAGCTACTCAGGAGGCTGAAGCAGGAGAATTGCTTGAACCTGGGAAGCGGAGGTTGCAGTGAGCCAAGATTGAGCCATTGCACTGCGGCGTGGGAGGCAGAGGTAGACTCTGTCTCAAAAAAAAAAAAAGTCACTTTCTCTGCCAGTCATATCTTCTGCAACCCTGAGGAGCCAGGCAGGACGACCCCTTTACCCTCTGAATCAATTGGTCTGTATCAGGGTCTGGCAGAGGGAGGGGAAGTTGGCCCCTCTGATTTAATGGATGAATCAAGAAAATGTGTGACTGAGCCATGGATTCATGGGGATGGGGTCCTGGAGCAGAGGCTTGCTGTGCACCTACTAGGTGCTGTGTACCTCACAAGCCACTGGGGACATCAGACCACCAGAATAAGTCCACTTTCCCCAAGGAAAGTGGTCAAATGTGGGAGCCAGGTGTGCAAATCCCCACCCCAGGGTGATAACAGCCCCAATAAAGGCACATGCAAGGGGGACCTTCGGAGCTGATGACACTGTACAGGCATCTAAGAGGCTGGTGACAGGGTCACCAAGCAGAGGTCTAGAGCAGGGCTGAGTGGGGTAGGGGGGGTTCTTCCAGGCAAAAGGCAAAAACTCTGTTGGTACCGTGTAGGTCTTCCACAGCACATGCCACATGAGAAGAAACATTCGCCTGGCGAGTGGCTGAAGTCTATAATCCCAGCACTTTGGGAGGCTGAGGCAGGTGGATCGCTTGAGCCAAAGAGTTTGAGATCAGCCTGGGCAACATGGCAAAACCCCGTCTCTACAAAAAATACAAAAATTAGCCAGGTGTGGTAACCCATGCCTGTGGTCCCAGCTACTCGGGAGGCTGAGGTGGGAGGATTGCTTAAGCCTAGGAGGTCAAGGCTGCAGTGAGCCATGATTGTGCCACCACACTCCAGCCTCAGTGACAGAGTGAGACCCTGTCTCGAAAAAAAAAAAAAAAAAAGAGAGGGAAAGGAAAAATTTTATTTTACATTTATGTATTGAGGGCAGGGACCATGCCTGCTGGGCTGCTCACCACTGCTGAGCAGGATTCCTGGTGTGGCATCCTAACACAATAAATATTTACTGAATGTGTACTCAGGAAACTGCAAAGGGTTCAGGCTGGCCTGAGAGTAAAGTGAAAGAAGGAAGTGGTAGAAGAGCCCAGAGGTCTGTGACCCCAGAACCTGGAGGGCACCTGTGGCCTGGGTCTTTCTCCTGCAGGCACTGGGGAAAAGTCGGAGGGTTTATTTTATTTAATTAACTTATTTATTAATCAATTAATTTTTTGAGATGGAGTCTCACTCTGTCACCCAAGCTGGAGTGCAGTGGTGCGATCTCAGCTCACTGCAACCTCTGCCCACCGGGTTCAAGCGATTTTCCTGCCTCCCGAGTAGCTGGGATTACAGGCATTCGCCACCATGCCCGGCTAATTTTTGTATTTTTAGTAGAGATGGGGTTTCACCAGGCTGGCCAAGCTGGTCTCGAACTCCTGACCTCAAGTGATCCTCCTGCCTCGGCCTCCCAAAGTCCTGGGATTACAGGTGTGAGCCACCGCGCCAGGCCGGTAGGAGGGTTTAAACAGGAAAGAGATAAGCAGTCAGATTCATAGTTTAGAAAATCCTCAGGTTCTGGTGTTCGGGTGGATGCCTGGAGTGGGGATCTGGAAATCAGGGGCAGGGGTTAGTAATAACCCAGGTGAGGAGACTTGAGTCTAGAGGCAGCCAAGTGGGGACCTATGGAGGAGTTCACGTGCTGCAGGTGTGCGCCGCCGAGGCGGAGCCAGGCTCTGGAGCTGCCAGGGGCTCAGAAGCCTCCCTCTCAGATCTCTCCCCTTTTGGCCACAGATGGGAAGGAGAGAGGCACTCACCCGACCCAGCGTGGCAGTACAGTAGTGTCCAACCTGTCACTGTTGGGCGTGGTGGCGTGTACCTGTAGTCCCAGCTACTGAGGAGGCTGAGATGGCAGCAGCACTTGAGCCCAGGAGTTGGAGGCTGCAGTGAGCCGACAGCGCCACTGAACTCTAGCCTGGGTGACAGAGCGAGACCCTGTCTCTAAAAAACAGAAAAGAAAAATTACAGGTCGGGCGCAGTGGCTCACGCCTGTAATCCCAGCACTTTGGGAGGCCGAGGAGGGTGGATCACGAGGTCAGGAGTTCAAGACCAGCCTGGCCAATATGGCGAAACCCCGTCTCTACTAAAAATACAAAAATTAGCCAGGCGTGGTGGTGTGCGCCTGTAGTTTCAGCTACTTGGGAGGCTGAGGCAGGAGAATAGCTTGAACCCGGGAGGCGGAGGTTGCAGTGAGCCGAGATCACGCCACTGCACTCCAGCCTGGCAACAGAGCGAGACTCTGTCTCAAAAAAAAAAAAAAAAAAAAAAAAAAAAGAAAAAGAAGAAAAAGAAAAAAGAGAAAGAAGGAAAGAATTACATAACAGTAAGCAACCTAGCTAGATTTGAACCAGGCCCTGCAGTTCTAAAGCACTGGCTTTTGCGGAGCGGCACTCACTCCGCATCGTGGCATAGGTAGATTTCTTTTCTAAAGGTGAGGTCAGTGCTGGGCACTTAGCAGGCGCCCGGTGGGCTGCGCCGTCCTGGAGGAAGGCTGATTCCTCCCACCCCGACTCCTGGCTCGTGGGTGGGTAATCCAGCACATTCTCCCCACCCCGGCAACCAACTTTGTGGCCGAACAAGCCCTCCCCGGCTTGTTCCGCTGGTCCCAGGCGCCTGCGCATCCGGACACGATGAGGAGCAGGTGCGCGGGGCCGGGGTGTGTTCGAGGGGGTCGTGCGCGCCTGGGCTGCCTCCCCGCGGACGGCGGACTGGGCCGGGGCGGCGCTTCCTGGCAGAGAGGCGCGGAGGGGCGTGGCTTTGGAGAGGTGCCCCCGGCGGGCTGGCGGCCTGGCTGCGGTGAAAGGCGGGCGGACGCAGGTGACGACAACCGCTCCATAAAGGGCGCCGCGGCGCGACGCTCGCCTTATATGGGCAGGCTCGGCGCGGGAGGGGCGGGGCGTTCCACCCAGCTGGCTCCGCACCGAGGCCCGGCCGAACCCCCGAGGGGGGAAACTTCTCTGCGAGGGTGGAGCCTCCTCAGCGGCGTCCCCAGGTCCCGAGAGGGGTCCCTACCCAGGCTAAGACTCACGACGGGCTCCACCCTGCAGGGGCTCAACTTGCAGAAACCCTGGGGCCTGCCTTCCCCAGGGGTCTGCCCTCCTCAGGCCCTGCTAGGGCACTGACTCGGTTTGTGCTGTGTGGCGTTTTTTCCTTCACCCCACCTGGGCCGCAGGTCCTCGCTAGATAGCCGAGGGAGGGTCCTTTAAGTGAGCTCACCTCGGAGCCCCCAGATAACCAAGCCTGAGCCTCCCGGCTACATGGCGAGGCTTCCCCAATCCGGTCAGCCCCAAGCAGGTGCCTTTCTCTAACTGGCACAAAGGAAGTCTCCTAGCCAGGCTGAGCCCAAGCCTCGGTAAACATGAGCCTTGGATCCACTGGAAGTGTTTGGCTAACTGGGCCCTTCTTGGCCAGACAAGACTTTAACCCTAAGAGGAAGCTGCCAGCATGACGCAGCCCACCATATTCTCCCTCCAAGCTCTCTTCATAGCCCGGGTCCTTAAAAACCCAAATCTGTCCAATTGCTACTTGCCGTCCACTCGTTGACAGTTACTCCGCTTCACAGCCTCCCGATCACCTGAGTGTCCTCCCTCGGCTCAGTGCACAGGGCTCTGTGAGCTTACAGTTCCCTGGTTGCCGTTCCGTGCCTCCCAGCCCTGCACCTGCTGCTCCTTTCTGGAAAGCCCTTTCCTTGCACACTCCCAGACACGTGCTCACCCTTCAGAGAGATACTTCTTAGCGTCTTCTTCCTGACATTTGTAGTGATTACTTAACCTTTCTGAGCATCAATTTCTTCATCTGCAAGATGGGGGTAAAATAATCCCCACCTCACTGTGTTATTGTGAGGATCGAATGAGTTAATGTTTGTAAAATGCCTGGCATATAGTAGCTGCTCATGAAAAACTCGTTGACCAAATTCCTCTTCCTGTGCTCTAATTGCTCATGTATGTGTTGTGAGTGCCATGAAGGCTGGCCTCTTCCTTTTCCAGCTATGCATACCTAGTTCCTGGCACATATATAGATCTTGAACCAGTGTTTGTTGGCGAATGAATGAATTTCAGGCAGTAGGGGTCGGGGAGAGAAGAGACCCCTAACTGTGATGGTCATCAACCCTCACATCTGCCGGGATGTAGGGCATTCTAATGCTTCCCCCCTCAGTTGCCCAGAGCTTCATGGCAACCAGGAGGGACACAGCATGGATATGGACCCCGTTTTCCAGATAAACCTATGAGTGATTAGAGGTGAAGTAACTTCCCCACGGTTACACAATGAGTGGAAGAGTCGGCATCAGGGTGACCAACGTGTACTTTTTTTTTTTTTTTTTGAGACGGAGATTTGCTCTTGTCGCCCAGGCTGGAGTGCAATGGCGCGATCTCGGCTCACTGCGACCTCTACCTCCCAGGTTCAAGCAATTCTCCTGCCTCAGCCTCCCAAGTAGTTGGGATTACAGTTGCCCACACGCCCAGCTAATTTTGTATTTTTAGTAGAGATGGGGTTTCTTCATGTTGGTCAGGCTGGACTCAAACTCCCAACCTCGGGTGATCTGCCCGCCTCAGCCTCCCAAAGTGCTGGGATTACAGGCGTGAGCCACTGTGCCCGGCCCAATGTGTATTATTATTATTATTATTATTTTAGCACTGAGAGTTCCACGTCCCAGGAATCTCTTTAGTCTCAGGCAGCCAGGATGGTTGGTCACCCAAGATCAACTTCTAAACGTTAGTCTCTGAGGACCGCCACCTTCCAACCTCCCCTGCACCCGTCCCATTATTCCCAAGTATTTTACTGCGTTCCTGAAGGGGACACAGGCTCTCCAGCCCAGAAGGTCCAACAGATTTTAAAAAGTCACACTCTGATTCCCCAAAAAAGTTAGACTCACAGCACAGTAGGGATGGGGGACAAGGACATTGGAAGGGCATTGAGGCCAGGTGTGGTGGCTCACGCCTGTAATCCCAGCACTTTGGGAGGCTGAGGCGGGTGGATCACTTGAGGTCAGGAGTTCGAGACCAGCCTGGCCAACATGGTGAAACCCCGTCTCTACTAAAAGTACAAAAACAAGCCAGGTGTGGTGGTGCGCACCTGTAGTCCCAGCTACTCGGGAGGCTGAGGCAGGAGAATCGCTTGAACCCGGGAGGCAAATGTTGCAGTGAGCTGAGATCGTGCCACTGCACTCCAGCCTGGGCGACAGAGTGAGACTCTGTCTCAAAAAAGAAAAAAAAGAAGGCCCAGGTAGGAGTTTGCTTCACTTTGACAGGGACTCATGGGCCACTCCTGCACCAGGCCCTGGGCCTGGGACCAGGAACTGAGAGAAGGCTGGCCCCCACCTGTGGGACTCTAGCCAGGTGGGGGAGACAGATGTATAGACACAATGCCAACAGTTTGGTTCCTCGACGGCTGGAGAAGGGAGTGATCGACCAGGGTTTCTGAAGAACCCCCTCCTGACGTGGCCACTCACCAGCTGACCTCAGGCCTGTCCCTTCCTTTGGCTGGCCCTGGACCTTCTCTGTCAACTCAGGCAGTTGGAGCTGGTCCCTGAGGGCCTTCCTGCCCTGAAGTCATGACTTGTGGGGAGCTGAGTTCTGGGAAATGCATCCTCTGGAGAGGCACCAGAGGCCGCGCATGCCTGAGTGAGTGTGGGGGTGCGCCCTGGCCTCACTAGCCAAACACCAACTTCATCTTCCCAGGCTACCCTGGCCCGAGCAGCTCCGGCTCCTTCCCTGCCTGCCTCATCCTCCCAGGCCACTGTCCAGGAAGCTGGCCTCTCTGCCTGTTCCCCACAGCCCCTGGGGGTGGGGCCAGAGTAGGGCAAAAAGGGCCTGGGCCTGGCCCAGCAGAGCCTCTGCCCCTCCTTCGGGGGCTCCTGTTCTTGTGGGCTGAGAGCTGCAGCCCTGCAGCCGGCCTGGCTGTGGCTCAGTGGTCAGGGCCAAGTGCAGAGCAAACACCCTGCCCACTGGGCAGCCATTTCACGGTCATTCCCAGGCTGCATGGGGTCCCCAGTCGGGCAACTAAGTGCAGATGTGAAACAACGAGCTTTCCAAGATCCAGGGATTTGACCCTTGGGAAAGAGACTCCCTAAGGGAACTGCTTCCTGTCACTCCCCAACCACCACTTTGAGAAATAATTTTCTCTCCCTCAACCTCACTGCCAGCCTCAGTCAAGAGCAAACCGAGGACTGGTAGTGGGAGCTCAGGGCCACCTTGGGATTCTCTGCTCTCGCTGCTGGCTGAGCCCAGGCAAGGCCCCTGCCCTCTCTGGGCTTCCATTTCCCTCTCCTGCTCCAAACTTGCTAGCTTCCTTCCCTATCTCAACATCATAGGGACCCTTCGAGATGGGAACTACTAATAGGGGAAATCATATGGGAAACCAGGCTGGGCGCAGTGGCTCACACCTATAATCCCAGTACTTTGGGAGGCCGAGGTGGGAGGATCACCTGAGGTCAGGAGTTCCAGACCAGCCTGACCAACATGGTGAAACCCTGTGTCTACTAAAAATACAAAAATTAGCCGGGCGTGGTGGCAGGTGCCTGTAATCCCAGCTACTCAGGAGGCTGAGAGGTAGGGGAATCACATGAACCTGGGAGGTGGAGGTTGCAGTGAGCTGAGATCCTGCCACTGCACTCCAGCCTGGGTAACAGAGTGAGACTCCATCTCAAAAATAAAATAAAAAATGACCATATCCTTATAGGAACCATTATTTTGAACTCAGAATCTCAGAAAAACCAGGATTTGGGGCCTGGAACTTTCTTTGTCTTATTTTGTTTTGTTTTGGATTTTTTGGGGAGACAGAGTCTTGCTCTGTCACCCAGGCTGGAGTACAGTGGCGCGATCTAGGCTTACTGCAAGCTCCGCCTCCCGGGTTCACGCCATTCTCCTGCCTCAGCCTCCCGCCACCACGCCTGGCTAATTTTTTGTATTTTTAGTAGAGATGGGGTTTCACCGTGTTAGCCAGGATGGTCTCCATCTCCTGACCTCGTGATCTGCTCACCTCGGCCTCCCAAAGTGCTGGGATTACAGGCGTGAGCCACCGTGCCTGGCTGGGGCCCGGAACTTTCTAAGGCAGAGGCGGCAGAGACAAAGAGGTGGCTGGAGGTGGGGCAGTGCCGAGCCAAGTCTCAGGACATCCCTACTGCCGAGCCTCCCCTCCCACAAAGTAAACCGGCAGGTGGGCAGTGCAGGCGGGGCCCAGCTCGGGTTTCACTCCTTCCCCGCTCTCGGGGACAATAAAATGCTCCCTTTGCCCTGGAAATCCCACTTGTATAAAATCCAAAAGAAGAAATAAGCTCTTATGTTCAAACAGGTTTGTTCCAACCTCATTTATAATGGAAAAATATTAACTGAAAAATTCCTTAGTATCCGACAATGGGGGAGAAGTTAACAGTTTGACCGGAGCTGAGTGACATGCAAAAGGGTGTTTGTGGAGTGCAGGGAGCTCCTGCTGTGTGTGTGGGAGGGTGGAGAGGGCATGGGGAGAGGAGCAGGGACCCCAGAGTCAGACTGTCTAGGTTTAAATCCTGTCTGCTCCTTCCTAGCTGTGTGACCTTGAGTCATAACCCAAAGCCCTCTGTACCTCCATGTCCCCCTCCATAAACTGGCACTGGGCTGGGCATGGTGGCTTATGCCTGTAATCCCAGCATTTTGGGAGACCAAGGCAGGTGGATCACCTGAGGTCAGGAGTTAGAGACCAGCCTGGCCAACATGGTGAAACCCCGTCTCTACTAAAAATACAAAAATTAGCCAGGTGTAGTGGCAGGTGCCTGTAGTCCCAGCTACTCAGGAGGCTGAGGCAGGAGAATCGCTTGAACCCAGGAGGCAGAGGTTGCAGTGGGCCGAGATTGTGCCACTGTGCTCCAGCCTGGGTAATAGGTGACAGAGCGAGACTCCGTCTCAAAACAAAACAAAACAAAAAAAAGGAGAGAGAGACTTGGGGGATGTGTGTGCCCAGAGGAAAATCCATGTGAGGACCCAGCAAGAAGGTGGCCACCCGCAAGCCAAGCAGAGAGGCTTCAGGAGAAACCAACCCTGCCAGCACCTTGATTTTGGACTTCCAGCCCCAGAACTGTGAAAAAATAAACATCTGTTGTTTAAACCACCCAGTCTGTGATATTTTGTGATGGCTGGCCTAGCAAACTAATACACATTACTAACACACAATAAGAGAAGCGTTTAATAGGGCGCTTACCACGTAATTGCATTGTGTTCTGACATTACATTTACGATCTCATAACCATGAGGAGGGTCCTGTCCTCCCATTTCAGAGATGAAGGAAACTGAGGCTTGGCTAGTGACGGAGAGGGCTGTGACTGGAGCCAGGACTGTGTGACTCCAAGGCCCCACCAAAGCCTCCTCCTGGGATGGACCATGGACTTTCCTGCCTCTGTGCTGTGCATACGCTCTCCCTTCTGCCTGGAATACCCTTCCCACCACTTGCCTCTCAGGACGAGTCCCAGTCGATTCTTCAAAACTCTTCTTGGCCCGGCAAGGTGGCTCACACCTGTAATCCCAGCACTTTGGAAGGCCAAAGTGGGTGGATCACTTGAGGTTAGGAGTTTGAGACCGGCCTGGCCAACATGGTGAAACCCTGTCTCTACTAAAAATACAAAAATTAGCTGGGCCTTGTGGCAGGTGCCTGCAATCCCAGCTATTCAGGAGGCTGAGGCAGGAGAATTGCTTGAACCTGGGAGGTGGAGGTTGCAGTGAGCCAAGATCACACCACTGCACTCCAGCCTGTGCAACAGAGTTAGACTGTCTCAAAACAAAAACAAAAAACAACTTTTCTCAAGCATCACCTCCTTCCCATGCTTTACCCGACAATCTCCTTTTGCAGATGTGCTGCTTTTCAGGGCTTGCGGCCAGTCTGTACTCTGTCACCATGGTGGTAAATGTCATCTCTCCTGTAGCATTTAGACTTTAGATGTGTCCATGTGTTTGCTGTGAACTCCTGGAAGGCAGGGGCTGTGTCTTGCTCTAGTTCCTATCACCCAGCAGGCCCAGAGGGGCTCCGCACAGACGCTTGCTGGCTGAGGTAGCCAGTTTGGCCTGGAGAGAGTATTCCCGCCTCAGGAGTGGATCATGAGGAAATGGAATCTCCTGCCTCCTTGTGGGGTGGGGGTTGGGGGAGGTGGATAAAAGAGAGGCTCCACCTGGCACGGTGGCTCGTGCCCATAATCCCAGCACTTTGGGAGGCCGAGGTGGGTAGATCACCTGAGGTCAGGATTTTGAGACCAGCCTGGCCAACATGGTGAAACCCCATCTCTACTAAAAATACAAAAATTAGCTGGGCACCTGTAATCCCAGCTACTCGGGAGGCTGAGGCTGGACAATCGCTTGAATCCAGGAGGTGGAGCTTGCAGTGAGCCAAGATTGTGCCACTGCACTCCAGCCTGGGGGAAAAGAGCAAAATTCCATCTAAAAAAAAAAAAAAGCGGATCAAGGTCCCTACTCTGGGCATGAGAGGAGGGATCCTTTGACACTCCTGGGAGCAGCAGTGTGGCAGAGGAGGAGGAGCAGGGCATGGGGTCAGCCACCCTCAGTCCATTTCCCAGGGTGTGGCCTTAGGCACGGTCACTACCTCTCTGGGCTTCTGTCTCCACATGTATGAAATGGAATCAGTCCCTCCTTCCACAGGTGTTAGGTCGAAGAAGGCACCTCTGGTGGTATCGGCACAGAGGCTGGACACTGGATGACTTCTTTGCTGGGACACTGAGGTAGGGGGCAGACCAGAGACAGACAGCTACTTGCCTAAGCTCACCCAGCAAGCTGGCTGAAGGTGGAGAACTGGCTTGTCCTCCAGTTGGTAGTTAACAGCTGTCTAGCAGGAGTGTTCTTGCTCCCAGGAGACGCTCCGTTGGCTGCCACAGAGGTAAGCGTGAGAGTGCGCTCAGAAGTGGCTGGGAGGCATGGAGAACAGAGGAGCAGGTTCAGGGTGAATTCCAGTGGGCATTCTCCAAGGGTGAGGTCACTGCCTCCAACTCCCTAGGGCTGCCTGAGACACAGGCACCACCAAGCCAGCTCCAGAGCAGGAGGAGGTGGTGGCAGGGACCAGGGCCAGGTCACAGGGCTGAATGTAAGGCCCTCAGCCTGGTACAGCGACGGGCCCCTCCCATGGTGCTGGGGTCCTTACCTTGGGAAGCCCGGTGTTTCCTGTTTAAGATGTGGCTGGGGGTAGGGGAAAGGAGAAAGCCACACAGATAACACTTCTGGAACTTCCAATCGGTGCCAGCGTGCTTCCACCTGCTGAGCCGTGACCTCATTTGCAGGGACTGTCATGAGCCCCAACTTGGAGATGGTGCAACTGGGGCTCAAAATGGTGAAAACCTTGTCCCAAAAGGAAAGCAGTATAGCTAATGAGCAAGAACAAAGAGAATTTGAAATTAAAGACATTGGGGTTCATTCTTTTCCCCTTTTTTAAAATTTATTTTTGGGCCGGGCACGGTGGCTCACGCCTGTAATCCCAGCACTTTGGGACGCTGAGGTGGGCGGATCATTTGAGGTCAGGAGTTTGAGACCAGCCTGGCCAACATGGTGAAACCCTGTTTCTACTAAAAATACAAAAATTAACCAGGCATGGTGGCAAATGCCTGTAATCCCAGCTACTCGGGAGGCTGAGGCAGGAGAGCTGCTTGAACTCAGGAGGCGAAGGAGGTTGCAGTGGGCAGAGATCATGCCATTCTACTCCAGCCTGGGCAACAGAGCAAGATTCCATCTCAAAAACAATAAAATAAATAAATAAAATTTATTTTTTATATTTTTATTTTTTAGAACAAGATCTCACTCTGTCACCCAGGCTGGAGTGCAGTGGTGAGATCACAGCTCACTATAGCCTCAAACTCCTGGGCTCAAGTGATCCTCCCACCTCACCCTCCCAAGTAGCTGGGACTACAGGCGCACACCGCCATGCCAGGCTAATTTTTTTTTAAATTTTGTGTAAAGACAGGGTCTTGCTATGTTGCCCAGGTTGGTCCCGAACTCCTAGGCTCAAACGATCCTCTTGCCTTGGCCTCCCAAAGTGCTGGGATTACAGGCGTGAGCCATCGTGTCCGGCCACATCGGAGTTCAAATCTGAGCTCTGAACTCCATTCATGCCAAGTTACTTAAGCCCTCCAAGCCTCAGTTTCCTTGTCTGTAAAATGGCGGTAACAATGGTCCCTGCTGTTGGGGTTGCGGTGGAGACTCAGTGAGAGGATTCATGTAGCACACACTCAGTAAGTGCCAGCTGTCACTGCCAGCCTATTTCACCACCGTGAACACAGAGCCTCAGAATGGAAAAGCAGCCTGCCCAAGGTCGCACAACTTGCAGGTGGCACAGGCAGGATCTGAATCCAGATCAGATTCTTCCCGCCCTACTTCTATCACCGTGGAAGGGCCTGGGGGGGCCTGCAGCCAGGAGGTGGCTGGAAAGGGAGGTTCCTTGGAACAACCAGTGGCCCAGGCTTCCTGCAGAGCCGGGGACCCCAGCCCTGGCCAGGGTAAGGGTCACGCCTGCAGCTGGTGTTCCAGGCATCGGAGAGGAACTGCGGCTGCAGGCCTGGCAGCCTTACCGTCGCCAGCATCCTGCCCTCCATGGACACGGCCCCAACATTGTTTTCTGGGCCGTTCCCTGCCCAGAGCCCACACATTCGGGATTTCCGCAGCTTGGCCAGCACTACCTTCGCTTCCTGGAGCAGCTTTCCCCAGGCGGCCGGGGTGGGGGTTGAGCTGGCCCTGGCCCCTGGTAGGGGCAGGCACTGCTCGGAAGGCAGTGGCAGCAGCGCCGTCAACATCCTCTTGACCTGACAGGTCCTTACCCGAGTTCTACCTCCTCAGAAACACAGCGGCCCTCCTCACTCCCCTCTCCTGAGGCCAGCGTAGAAAAGGCCCTACCTCATTTCCACTTTAGGGTAGGCTGGAGTGAGAGCCCGGGTTAAAATCCTAGCCCTACTACAAAGGTGCTGTGACCTGGGCAAGCCTCCCCTTCCCTCTGCCTCACAAGGGATGCTGGGTAGCCTGAGGTGCCTTAGGCTGCCCTGACATCAGCTCAGGGATGACCGGCGCCCCGTGCTCTGAGGTCTCTGGGCATAATAAGCTCCTTGATGACAGGGTCAGTTTCTCTCCCGTGTTCTGCAAGTTTATTTTTATTATTATTATTATTTTTGAGATGGAGTCTTGCTCTGTTGCCCAGACTAGAGTGCAATGGTGTGTTCTCATCTCACCGCAACCTCTGCCTCCCAGGTTCAAGCGATTCTCCTGCCTCAGCCTCCCAAGTAGCTGCGATTACAGGCGTGCACTGCCACGCCCGGCAAATTTTTGTATTTTTAGTAGAAAAGGGGTTTCGCCATGTTGGCCAGGCTGGTCTCGAACTCCTGACCTCAGGTGATCCACCCGCCTCGGCTTCCCAAAGTCCTGGGATTACAGGCGTGAGCCACCGCGCCCGGCTCCATGTTCTGTATATTTAGAAGGAACCTGTGTGAGTGGCCACCAAACGTTCACTCTGAACCATGCTGGCGCTGCCTGCAGGTGAGCGTGCCTGCCCAGAGTGGTGTCTCAGTTGTCTCACTGCCCACCCTGGCGCTCCGTCTCCTCTGTGGGCTGGCACCTGCTCCCTGGTAGGGCGGAGCTGAGGGGCACAAGGGAGCGTGGAAGTCAAGCAGCCAGCCCAGCAAACTCGAGCTTCCACCCCTGCCGCCTCTCTGCAGGCAACCACGTGCACTGGGTGTCAAGAAAAAATATACAGGGGCCATATCCCGGGTTGTCTTCAGGCTCGGGAAGCCTGCGACTTTGTCCCCTTTCCCCGGCTTCCCAACCTGGTGGCTAAAGGCTTCCAGCAGGTGTCTGCCAACCCCATCCACAGTCATGGGGCCCAATGTGGCACCCAGAGAATGACCGTGGGCTGACAGCCCAGAGCCAGCGGCATCCCCGGTGAGGTCAGTGTCCTGGAATTGGTCAAACAGGATCACCAGGAGGATTCCGTGAGCACAGCCAGCATGACTCACGGCCATGATCAGCCTCACGGGCAGAGGCTGCCAACCTGGGATGGCCACAGCCACCGGCTCACCTTGCAGGGCAACGCACCTTTTAAGGAGGGAGCTGGAGCAGCGCCCGGGTCCTGCCTCTGGCCAAGGCCTCTGCCACACTTCTCCACGCCCACCCGGGCAGAGAGGCCAGACCCCCACTGGGTTCAAATTTGGCACCACTTTTCAGACATGACCTTGGGCAAGTCGATTTCTCTGAACTGTTTTTTTCACTTATGATATGGAAATAATACTTGCCTCACAAGAGTGGAATTCGATGAGGTAATGTGTTTAGAAAGTGCGTGGCAAACGGTGCCTTTTAAGGAGCGGCAGTGGGGTCCGGTGGAAAGGGCCAGGGCTCGGGAGTCGAGGCGCCCCAGCATTGTGCTCTGGCCCCACCCTGGGCTCACTGGGTGTCTTTGAAAGAGTTACTCAACCTCCGATCTGCTCTGCTCCCACTGTGTCAAATGAGCTGACACCACTTGCCTTGTTGCCTGTTGTGAGATGAAGATCACACACACGCCACCTTCTATCAGATGACAGGAGGCAGCGAGGGTGGTTCCTGGGGGTGGGTGTGGAAGGCTGCCTGGCCTTGAATCCCAGCTCAGCCACTCAGGGGCTTTGTGACCTGGGGAAGGCTCCTCAACCTCTCGGGGCAGGTCTCAGGTGGAATCTGAAGGGCAACGCCTTCCCGCGGGGCTGTGCTGAGCTGAGACCCTCAAAACAGTGCCAGGTACCTGGGAGGTGCCTCCTGAGTCTGGGCAGGTCCTGCTCATCTTAACCAGGGCTTTTGGCCTTTGCAGGATGTTCACTCCACCAGCTTCCGTCTCCACTGACGCCAGTTGCTGGTTTTGTCCCCTCCATGTGCTTGTGACAGACCCCAGGGTCTGGGGTCCTTCAGAGGCCACGGGCCCCTCTCCTCCCTCGGTCTCGGCAGCCTTCCCAAGGCAGTCCTTGGGTGGGCCCCTGGAGAATGCAGACAGTTCTAATAGAACAGGGTGAGCCTCTGAGAACAGAGCAATACCAGCCCCATGGCATCCCTGGGGCCACGGAGTAGGGTGTCAGGATCCCCCTGCCGCCAAGCACCTGATTCACAGGAAGCTGGGGCCTCATCCAGGCAACCGAGCCCTAATGACAGCTTGGCCCTAGGAGCAAGGCAGACGGAAGGAAGGCTTTCTTGACTGGCAAGCCTGGCTCCCTTGGCACACTCCTCTATGGCCAAGGGGAGCTGGGGGCCAAGAGGGGTTGTCTGGTCCCAAGGCCCAGAAGTTCCTGCAGGCACCCATGGGAAGGATAGCCTGATCCCCACAGGGCCAGGCACCTGCTGGGGCAGCCAGGAGCCCTGTCAGTTGGGGAGGCCTCAGAAGGGTCAAGGGGATCAGCTGTGGGAGCCCAGGTTTCAGAGGCAACCACGTCTGGATAGAAACCCCAGCTCTGCATCCCATGAGCCACAGTGTCTACATCGGGGTAATGGGGACAACAGCCTCTTGCCTTAGGAGGGCACGAGGACTGGCACATGGCATCCTTAGAATAGCAGCCACTGCTGACAAGCATGTTAGTGAACAGGAAGGGCTGGTTGGAGAGAGTGTTGTGGAGTTAGGGGAGGATGTGGGGACAGTGGACAAGCCCCCTGGGAAAGGGTGACAAGTGCTCTGAGCCCACACAGATGTGACATTGCAGATGGTGCAGACCCTTGCTTTATTTGTCTGACTTGTTCACAGTTCAGCCCCCTGCTCAGAAAACCAACGGGCCAGCTAAGGAGAGGAGGAGGCACCTTGAGACTTCCGGAGTCGAGGCTCTCCAGGGTTCCCCAGCCCATCAATCATTTTCTGCACCCCCTGCCTGGGAGGCAGCTCCCTGGGGGGTGGGAATGGGTGACTAGAGGGGATTTCAGTGTGGGACCCAGGGTCTGTTCTTCACAGTAGGAGGTGGAAGGGATGACTAAGTTCTTTATCACAGACCTACAAAAAATGAGATAATTAGATATTACTCTCACTAGTTTGGGCTTCTTTTTTCTTTTTCTTTTTACAAAACAGCAGCTGGAAAGAGAAATGTAGGTGGCAGACGAGCCAGGCACGAGGTTTCAGATTGGAAGGGACCAAGATGAGGACCAAGGTGTGGCTGCCTGACTAGGAACGCTGTGGGCTGGCCCAGGCTCTCGCCACACATCCTGGGAGAACTGCCATAGGCCCTAGAAGGAGGGATGAAAGGCGTATGGGAGGGAAGACAGCGGTCCCCGGATCAGCAGCAGCACCACCATCCTCTGATGGCCCCTGGGCAGTCCGCCAGCTCGGAAGCACTCAGGGCTGGAGCCTGGGCTCTAAGCATGGGCCCCAGGAGCCAGACAGGAGGGAGGCAGCAGGAAGGGCTGGCATGGAAGGGCTGAGTTCTATTGGGGTCCCACGCGGGCAAGGGAACCAGGACTCATCCCTGCTTGTCAGCCAATCAGCTTCTTCAGGAAGGCCTCCAACTGATCCTCATCCTTGATGCCCACAAACTTGTCCACCACGTCCCCATTCTTCATGGCCAGCACAGTGGGCACCGCTGACACCTGGGTGGAGAGGACAAGGGGGTCCAAGTGAATTGGGAGTGAATACTTCTCAACTGCCACTCCTGAGCCTTTGTGGGGAAGGCTGGTGGCTTATCCAGGGCACTGACTTCCCAAAGCCATGGGCAGGCCTAGAGGAACATGGCTCTTCTCTCGGTGCAGGGGTACTGCAGGGCCCGGGGGCCACCCGCTGAAGAAACGTCTTCCATTGCGGGCTCCCAACAGTACCCTTCCTCCCTTAACCACAAGACTGACTCACTGGCCCAGTGGTTTTGCTGGAATGACAGGAGAGATGAAAATAACCCTTGCAGCTGCAGGCCAGGGCTGGGGGCAGGGAGGAGCTCAGGGGAAGCCTGGCCCAGGAGGAGACAGAAGCTGGGGGACAGTTCGAGTCCTGGCTTTGCACTCACTAGCAAGGGGGCCTTGGCCGGGTCACAGCACCTTTCTGAGCCTCAGTGTCCTTTTCCATAAAATGGGGGTAATGTCTACCTTTAGGGTTTGGGATGAACATTAAAGATTCAAGTATAGGCTGGGCACAGTGGCTTATATCTATAATCCCAGCCTTCTGGGAGACTGAGGCTGGAGGATTGCTTGAGTTCAAGAGTTCCAGACCAGCTTGGGCAATATAGTGAGACCCTTTGTTTACTAAACCCCCCCAAAATATTAGCCAGGCATGGTGGTACATGCCTGTACTCCCATACTCGGGAGGCTGAGGCAGGAGGATCGCTTGAGCCTGGGAGACTGAGGCTTCAGTGAGCTGTGATTGTGCCACTGCACTCCAGCCTGGGTGACAGAGACCCTGCCTCAAAAAAAAAGAGAAAGATTTGAGTATAAAGCAGAGCTCAGGCTGGGCGCGGTGGCTCACACCTGTAATCCCAGCATTTTGGGAGGCTGAGGTGGGCAGATCATTTGAGGTCAGGAGTTCGAGACCAGCCTGGCCAACATGGTGAAACCCTGTCTCTACTGAAAATACAAAAATTAGTCGGGCATGGTGGCAGGCACCTGTAATCCCACCTACTTGGGAGGCTGAGGTGAGAGAATTGCTTGAACCTGGGAGGTGGAGGCTGGAGTCAGTGGAGATTGCACCACTGCACTCCAGCCTGGGTGACAGAGTGAGACTCCATCTCATAAATAAATAAATAAATAAATAAATAAATACATAAATAAAGCAGAGCTCAGGTTCTGGCGGACGCAATCCGGCTCCTACCAGCCAGGTGAGCTGGGGCACGCCCCTCAGTCACTAAGCCTCAGTGTTCTCAGATGCAGGATGGAGATACTAAGGGCACTGCCATTAGAGGGCATGAAAGCTGAATGAAATAACGCAAGTAAAGGCTCAGCACAGCGCCCGGCAAATAAGCTTAGGAACCTGGCATTGTGCCTGGCATACTGTGGGCATTCAAAAAACAGTGGCTACAGAGGGCACAAGGAAAAGTCCAACACAGGCCCCACGAGAGCACATTAGCTTGCTGCTGTGATGAGTGACAGGGTCCAGAAACTCAGGGACTTCTACTGGACAGCATGAGAGGAGAGGCTTGGCCATACACAACCTGACGCTTATTAGCAGGTTGCAGGCAGATGGCAAGGACAACATTCTTGGTCTGTGAAGCATTTACTCAGTTCCCTCAGGGACCTGCATAGGTTATGTGGAACGTGGATGAGGCTGTGGCCCACCAGACTGGCATTGTGAGGTCTCTGCTGCCTGGGATCCCTGCCTGGCATTCGTGGGCATTTGAGAAAACCATTTAAACAGAACAAGATAGGCCGGTCGCTGTGGCTCACGCCTGTAATCCTAGCATTTTGGGAAGCCAAAGCGGGCAGATCACTTGAGGTCAGGAGTTCGAGACCAGCCTGACCAACATGGTGAAACCCCGTCTCTACTAAAAATACAAAAATTAGCCGGGCGTGGTGGGGCATGCCTATAGTCCCAGCTACTCGGGAGGCTGAGGCAGGAGAATCGCTTGAACCCGGGAGGCAGAGGTTGCACTGAGCTGAGATTGTGCCATTGCATTCCAGCCTGGGCGACAGAGCAAGACTCTGTTCCCCCCCTCAAAATAAATAAATAAAAATAAACAGAACAAGATAAACACAGACTTTTCTTACATACAAATTAAACTACAAAGTAAGAGCAGAGATTCACACAAACATACCAGGTCTTCACATATCCCAGTGCTGCCCTGCCACGGCCCATCTTGGAAGCCAGTAAGATTCAGAATGTTCAAAAACCATGCACATGGTAGTTAGGAAAGGCACGCAGGCCAGACCATCCCGCCCTCACCCACTAACTTTACGTGGCAGGCCCTGCACCCCACTCCTCACGGACACTTTGGGGACAAACACAGCAGGTCACAGGACACAGTCCTTGTCCTTGTTAGTGCCTCAGGCCCCTTCAAAGGCTGTCCCTGGGCTGATGTGGGTGGCAAACCCTGTCTCCAGGCAGAGCAGGGCCCGAAAGAGTTTGCTCCAGGAAGCGCCTGAAGCCACCAGGGCCTTCCCAGGCATTCTTTGGTGCCCTCTAGTGGTCTGCAAAGGCAGCTGGAGTGCCTCAAAGCCGGAGCCTCTTGGCAGAAGCAGAGAGCTCAGCCACCGGCTCCCACCTGCACACTGTCCTATTCCTTTAATTAAAATATATGCTTTATGCCACTGTATAAGAAGTGGCCTAACTTTTTTCACGGCAAGACTCTAAGTTCACTGAAGAGGCTCAGAGAGTGGACTTAGCGTTCCTTAAGAACTCCAGATAGGCACAAGCACAGTGGCTCACACCTGTAATCCCAAGTACTTTGGGAGGCCAAGGCAGGAGGACTGCTTGAGGTCAGGAATTCATGACCAGCCTGGGCAACATAGCAAGACGTCGTCTCCATAAAAATATTAAAAAAAAAAAAAAAGAACTCCAGATGAAGGCCATAATGATCTCACTCATGTAAACCTCCACACATGCTTGAACACGCACAGACCCTGCTGGTGTCAGGTAGACAGCAGATGTGCTGTCAATGGAGGTCTGGTCACTACTGATCAAGGGGATATTTTGAAGTTGAGCTTAAACACACACACGCATACACACATATATACACACACACACATACACACTACCCGCACTAGGGGCTCACAGGAAACCTGAGCTGGAATGGGACTTCCCTCGACCCTGAGGAGGCGGCTGAAGCTCTGCTGCTCCTGTGTCTGGCTCACACATCAGGAGGTGCCGGTGCCTGTAAACACTGCCTTACATGGAAGTGCACAGGGCCTTGGCACATTCTTCTGGAATGTTTTGAGTGTGAAAGAGGCAGTGACTGAGCCAACTGAGGGGCTGAGGAAAAGATACGCTACGACGTGTTGCCTGTCCTGTTCCGTGAAGCCACTTGGAACCTCCTATCCTTGGATAAAGACCCTCTGAACTCGGCAGGAGTGGGGGAGTGTGTACGTGTGCGCAGTCTCTTTCTGCTAACCCGTAGCTCGCCTGCACCGCCACTGAGCTCCGTGTCCTGGTATGTCTTCTCCTGTCCCACCCCGATGGCATCCATCTGTTAACTCAGCTAAGGGCCTACCAAGGGAAAGGCACAGTGCTGGGTGCTGCGGGATGTTGCAACCTCCTCCTCGGCTCATTGCAGAGTTAAAAGGAAAAGATCGCTGTCACATGCTGGGTGCTTTTTCGTGTCAGGAATGATATAAACACCTCTATACACTATCTCACACTCTCCTGGCTGTGGGCAGGATCATTTTAACGATGAGAATACTGAGGCTCAAAGGGTGAGCAACTGTTCCAAAATGATGTGGTGTAGGACAGGCGCGGCAGCTCCTGCCTGTAATCCCAGCACTTTGGGAGGCTGAGGAAGGTGAATCATCTGAGGTCAGGAATTCGAGACAAGGCCGGCCAATGTGGTGAAACCTTGTCTCTACCAAAAATACAAAAATTAGGCCGGGCGTGGTGGCTCACGCCTGTAATTCCAGCACTTTGGGAGGCTGAGGCAGGAGAAGTGCTTGAATGCGGGAGATGGAGGTCGCAGTGAGCCGAGATTGCGCCACTTCACTCCACCTGGGTGAAAAGAGTGAGACCCCCTCTAAAAAAAAAAAAAAAAAAAAGCTGGGATCTGAAACAAGATCTGTTTGACTTTGCAGTCCAGGGGATCAAACTCTGTTGTGCTTCTGCCCAGCAGCAAAGAGAGAGAGACATCTACTGAGTCCCAGCAGGGGGAAGAACGTGGGGACGCATTAAAGGATTTCATGCTTCAAATGCAAAATGCCAAGTGCTTTGTAAAAGCTTTTAGATATGAGAGGGTTCTTGGAAAAACGATTATTGAAAAAATGAACTACATAACATTCTGGCAGAATTAGGTAGACAGTGAAAAGATCAAGAGTCGCCAGGCCTGGAGGGAGGAGGAAGGAGAGATGAACAGGCAGAGGAGAGAGGACATGGAGGCAGTGAAATGACTCTGGATGATGCTAGAATGTGGACACCGGCTATGACACATTTGTCCAAACCCACAGCAGGCACAACACCAAGAGTGATCCCCTATGTAAACTTTTGGCTTTGGGGGATAATGATGTCCGTGTAGGTTCATAAGTTGTGACAAATGGACCACCCTGGTATGGGCTGTTGATAGTGTGGGAGGCTGGGCATGCGGGAGGACAGGGGACTTATGGGAAGTCTCTGTACCTTCCCCTTCCTCTCAATTTTGCCACGAACCTAAAACTGCCCTAAAAACATAAAATCCTCAAAAAGAACAACAACAAAAAATGAGATCAGTGACTGCTGGGGGGTTAAGGGGGTGAGGGGCAGGAAGGAGAGGTGAACTGCTGGAAAACAGGGGAACCGAGGGCGGTGGAACGGTTCTGTATGGCGCTGGAATGGTGGACACATGCCATTATACATTTGTCCATGAACTTTCTCACTGGCAAGCAGTCTGTGCTGAGAGCGGCAGCTGAGACACGGCCTTCCAAAGAGCAGTTCCTCCCCACAGAAAGTCAGTCCGGGGCCTTCAGAACCAGAAAGTCAATCTGGGGCCTTCAGAATGAAAAAGTCAGTATGGGGCCTTCAGAACATTGGCTTCTCTCCATGTCGGCTCAGGACACCCAGCCCTGGCATTACCTGGGAGCTTGTTAGAAATGCAGTCTTGGTGGCCGGGCGCGGTGGCTCATGCCTGTAATGCCAGCACTCTGGGAGGCCGAGGTGGGCGAATCACTTGAGGTGAGGAGTTTGAGACCAATCTGGTCAACATGGTGAAACCCCATCTCTACTAAAAATACAAAAATTAGGCCAGGTGTAGTGGCTCACGCCCGCAATCCTAGCACTTTGGGAGGCCGAGGCGGGCTGATCACCTGATGTCAGGAGTTTGAGACCAGCCTGGCAAACATGGTAAAACCTTGTCTCTATTAAAACTACAAAAATTAGCTGGGCGTGGTCGTGGGCACCTGTAATCCCAGCTACTCGGGAGGCTGAGGCAGGAGAATCGCTTGAACCTGAGAAGCGGAGGTTGCAGTGAACCGAGATCGTGCCATTGCACTCCAGCCTGGGCGACAGAGCGAGACTCCATCTCAAAAAAGAAAAAGGATTTTAGGCCTTAAAGAAAGCCATCATGGGGGGCACTGTAGTTCTCTCAGAGGAAACTTCTTCCTCAGGCTCTCTTCAGAAAGAAAAGAGGAAGGAAGGAAAGAAGGAAGGGAGGGAGAGAGGGAGGGGGTCAGGAAGAACCCTGGCTGGAGCTTCCTAAACCCTGCAATGATGTCAGACCAGGGTTTGGCTAAACAACACGGCTGAGACCAAGTGATGTGGGCCTAGCAGCCTTGAGGCCTTTCTGTGTGACAGCACAGTCCCCAGGCAGTGGACAGGGCGGGAGCGGTGGGTGTGGGGGGAGATTGAGAGGATTCCACAGGAGGCATCTCCTTCTCACTTCCCAGGCTTCACCGCAGGCCTTCAGTGCCCACTCCCACAACAGCCTCCCGGGGACGGTCCTCGGCATTCCCGCCACCCCACGAGACACTGGAGCAGGGCCTGTGGGCTTCTTTGCATCTGCAGTAGTTACCATAGTCCCTGCACATGGCTGGCCCTCAGGGGGTGTCTGCTGAAGAGTTATGAATACATTGGCTGAAGCTGAAGCTGTAGTGTCTGGCAGAGCCAGGAGGCCTGAGACATCTGAAGCCCACGCGTGACCTGTGGGAGGCCCTAGGAGCCCCAGCCCGGGCTCTCACCCGAGGCATAGCCAGGCAGGGGAAAGCCAGGGGCATCCAAATGGGCAGATAGATGCCTCCCTCACTGAGCAATCAGTGGCCAAACTTTTTGAAAAAGTGACTCACCCCTCCCCCAGCCCCTGTAAACAGCCCTCAGTTCCTAACTCCCAAAGCAGGCCTGCTCCAGTGGTCACCTGTAGTGGCCACCGTGTTTGTCTGCCTGGTCTCCATCTCCCCTGCTTCTGGTCATTGCAGACTGATGTTCCTTTGGGTAATCACTCCCCACTCCCTGCGTAGCTCAAGGGGCGGCCAGCCTGTTCTCACCCCGCTCCCAACCACCCATTTCTTGCTGCAGGAGACTGGTTCAGGGATGGGTGCCTCTATTTGAGCTGGTCTAGTAAGAGTGAAACCTGGACTTGTATACTCTGAGGAATAAAGCGGCCTCTTTCATTCACTTGTTACCTGGAGGAGGAAGGAGGGAGGGGTGAAGGCTCACTCCGGCCAGGTTAAGATATTTCAAGAAAATCAGATATCGAGATTTTCACATGAAATCTGAGTTTCAAATATCAGCATCTGCTTCCTATTACTTTAAAATACTTCGAGTGCCAGACTAAAAGTGTCTGTGAGCCAGGTTGGGCCCAGAGGCTGCCAGGAGCGCCCTCGGCTCTGTAACAGCGCTACCTTCAGCATGGCTATTCAGAGACCCTCCCAATCCGGCTGCATTATGCTTTCCCCAGCTCCGTACTCGGCCCTTCACTCTGGCCACCCAGACAAAGTGGGCCTCTCCCCTTTCTCCAGGTAGTGGTCTCCAAGGCCCAGAGGAAGCCCCCAACCCAGACACCTCCAGGCACCTGGCCCCTGCTGGTCTGTAAGCAACCCAGGCTCATCAGACCTCAGGGCTTTTGCTTTGCCTGAATTGTTCTTCCAAAGACCCACATGCTTCAGTCACTCCCTTCCTGTTTTTGCCCAAAGGTCAGCTTATCAGGGAGATCTACCCTATCCCACCCTTTAAAAAAGAAACCCGCTGGGCGCGGTGGCTTACGCCTGTAATCCCAGCACTTTGGGAGGCCAAGGCAGGTGGGTCACCCGAGGTCAGGAGATCAAGACCAGCCTGGCTAACATGGTGAAACCTCATTTCTACTAAAAATACAAAAAATTAGCCGGCGTGGTGGCGCGTGCCTGTAATCTCAGCTACTCCGGAGGCTGGGACAGGAGAACTGCTTGAACCCGGGAGGCAGAGGTTGCAGTGAGCCGAGATTGTGCCACTGCACTCCAGCTTGGGCAACAAGAGCAAAACTCTGTCTCGAAAAAACAAAAACCCTGCCTCATACGCAGTACTCCCATCCTCTCTTCCTGATGTATTTTTCTCCATTGAACTTATTATCTAAAACAGGGGTCAGCAAACTATAGTTCACAGGCCCAATACAGCCTACTGCTTGTTTTTGTAAATAAAGTTTTATTGTAACACAGCCATGCCCATTTGTTTGTATAGTGTCTATGGCTGCTTTCGGCTACGAGCCCAGCTGAATGGTTGTAGCAGCGACCACTGCCCTGCAATGCTTCCAATACCAACCAGTCCTTTAGAGAAAAAGTTTGCTGACCCTTGATTTAAAATACTAGAATGTAGACTCCACGGAGGCAGAGATTTTGTCAGTTTTGTTCACTGCCTTATCCTCAACACCAAGTAACACTACCTGGCACTTGAGGGACTCTCAAATATCTGCTGAATAAACAGACAAACCAACCAACCAAGTGAGACGACTCCATGTCTTTGTGCACGCTGTTTCCTCAGCCCTTCCTCCTCCTCTGCGCATCCCTCATGGCTCAGCTCAGAGGTTCTCTCTAACGTGAAGCATTCCCTGTCCCCTCCAGCTCCCCCACAAGCAAACAGTCCCTTCTTCCTTTATGCGCCTCTTCTTTTAGCACTTCTATATTGAGATGATCTTTCTACCTGCTGTTCTCTCCTGCTAGACTAGGAGAGATCTTGCTTGGAAACAAGATCTCATCTTGTGTCAGAATCACAAATGCTTGGCACATCGAGCTCCCAAATGACTGCTCACTGAACATGTGGGTAGATGGATAAAGGAATGTACCAATGTCTGAGACTAAGTGAATGACCTGGTGTTTTTGGGTCATACGATCTACTTCCTAAAGGTGGTGAAGAGAGACAGGTGGCTCAGAGGATCAAGAGCCACCTCTGCAAAGTGCTCTGAGCTCTTAAAAGCTCTCGAAAAACCGGCTGGGCGCAGTGGCTCATGCCTGTAATCCCAGCACTTTGGGAGGCCAAGGTGGGTGGATCATAAGGTCAGGAGTTCCAGACCAGTCTGGCCAACATGGTGATACCCTGTCTCTACTAAAAATACAAAAAATTAGCTGGGCGTGGTGGTGTGCGCCTGTAGTCCCAGCTACTTGGGAGGCTGAGGCAGGAGAATCGCGTGAACCCGGGAGGCAGAGGTTGCAATGAGCCGAGATCATGCCATTGCACTCTAGCCCAGGTGACAGTGAGAGATTCCGTCTCAAAAAAAAAAAGCTCTGGAAAAACCAAGACACCTTGCTTACTGGCTACCTGTGCTCCCCAAGATACCTCCTACACCAGCTATCCCTGGGCCTGACACCTCCTATACTGGCTTCCCTGTGGCAACTCCCTGTCAATCCATACCTCATACTCAATGGCGAGGTCTGTGTGGTCATCAATATCCACCTTGGCCATCACCACCTTCCCGTGCTGCTTGGCCACCATCTTCTCTAACCTCGGCCCCAGGATCTTGCAGGGTCCACACCACCTCAAAAGGCGAGAAAGGAAGCATCCAGTCAGTCAAAAGAGCGCTCAGCATCCCCTACTGGCTTCCCAGACCTGCATCTTTCCAAGGAATCTTTTGCCCTTATTATCTCTGTTTACCATGTTTAAAAATTAACACACCAAATGGTAATGCCAGGAGATTCTGCACATGGGAAATCTTCACAGATCCCAGACTTTTAAAACACAGGCCTCATCAGAAGACTCATAATAAAAGTGACTCATTTCAGTATATCTCAGATAAATATACTGTCATATAAAAGGATATGGGATTGGAAGTTAAAAGGTTCAAACAGAGGCTTCTCACCAACCAGCTGATTATTCTGGGGCCCTAGTTTCCTTTTTTTCTTTTTTTGAGACGGAGTCTCGCTCTATCCCCCAGGCTGGAGTGCAGTGGCGCGATCTCGGCTCACTGCAAGCTCCGCCTCCCTGGTTTACGCCATTCTCCTGCCTCAGCTTCCTCAGTAGCTGGGACTACAGGTGCCTGCCAACACGCCCAGCTAATTTTTTGTATTTTTTAGTAGAGACGGGGTTTCACCGTGTTAGCCAGGATGGTCTCGATCTCCTGACCTCGTGATCCGCCTGTCTCGGCCTCCCAAAGTGCTGGGATTACAGGCATGAGCCACCGCGCCCGGCCTGGGCCCTAGTTTCTTCATCTGAAAAAGAGAGATTATGGCTCTCAAAGCTATTAGGAGAGATCAACTAAGGCAATGTGGGTAAACATGCATTGGAAGCTGTGGGGATATTTCAAACACCATGTGGACTCAGAACTAAAAGGAGGGGAACCAATGGCCTGGAGCGTCTACAACGCACCAGTCCCTGGCTCACTTTCTCTGCTTTTACCAAACACACCCCTCAACTCTGCAAAGAGAACACACCTTCCAAAGAAACTGAAGCCCATACGAGTTAAGAAACCTGTGCAAGATTAGAGAAGCACAGCTGGGATCGATCACAACCCAAAGCTGTGTTGAAAGTGTTTTCTTTGGCCGGGTGCGGTGACCCACGCCTATAATTCCAGCACTTTGGGAGGCCGAGGCAGGCGGATCACCTGAGGTCAGGAGTTCAAGATCAGCCTGGCCAACATGGTAAAACCTCGTCTCTACTAAAAATACAAAGATTAGCCAGGAGTGGTGGTGTGCGCCTGTAATCCCAGCTTCTAGGAAGGCTGAGGCAGGAGAATCACTTTAACCTGGGAGGCAGAGGTTGAAGTGAGCTGAGATTGTGCCACTGCACTCCAGCCTGGGCGACAGAGACTCTGTCTCAAAAAAAAAAAAAAAAAAAAAAGAGAAAGTGTTTTATTTCACCCACAGGCTACTCTGATCCCACAGCCCCTGAGTTGACCATTATCACTGCCCTGATCATAGGTATTCCCCTCTCGCTGGGGAAGCTCATCCAGGACAGGCCTGGTGCTGTCATCTCTATGTATGTGGCACCAAGGAAAGTGCCTGGCACTGAATGAACAACTCACACCACCCCACTTCCTTACTGAACAAAATGAGGCATTATCCCATTTATTGTTCATTTCGGAAGGCCTCTCTGGAATGCTCACTACACCAGGAGGCCAAGACAGTTCCACCTTTCACAAACCCCTGGCTGACAACTCCTATTTTATTCTCAGCACTTACTTATTTATTTTTGAGATGGAGTCTCACTCTGTTGCCCAGGCTGGAGTGCAATGGCGCGATCTCGGCTCACTGCAACTTCCGCCTCCCGGGTTCAAGCAATTCTCCTGCCTCAGCCTCCTGAGTAGCAGGTGTGGTGGTGCACACCGCACCCAGCCAGGCCTGACGGTTTTAAATGCTGAAAAATAGGCCGGGCATAATGGCTCACACCTGTAATCCTAGCACTCTGGGAGGCCAAGGCGGGAGAGAATCACCTGTGGTCAGGAGTTTGAGAGACTAGCCTGGCCAATATGGTGAAACCCCGTCTCTACTAAAAATACAAAAAAATTATCTGGGTGGTAGTCCCAACTACTTGGGAGGCTGAGGCAGGAAAATTGTTTTAACTCGGGAGGTGGAGGTTGCAGTGAGCTGACTGAACCACTGCAGTCCAGCCTGGGTGACAGAATGAGACTCTGTCTCAAAAACAAAAAAGGAAAAAAAACCCTCAGGCCTGGCGCAGTGGTTCATGCCTGTAATCCTAGCACTTTGGGAGGCCAAGGTGGGAGGATTGCTTGAGATCAGGAGGTAGAGACTGCAGTGAGCCGTGATCGCACCACTGCACTCTACATTCTAGCCTGGGTGACAGAGTGAGACCTTGTCTCTAAAAGAAGAAAAACAAAAACAACTCATAACACTGAAAAACCCAGTGTGCAAGACCTTATCTCCTATTACAAGTGAAGAAAGGGAGCACAAAGATATCAAGTGGCCTGCCCAAGGCCACAGGGTGAGTCAGAGAAACAACTGGAAAGCCAGCGAAACAATCTGTCAGAGACCTGACCAGAAGGCCCTTCAATTTCTTTTTCTTTTTTTTTTTTTTTGAGATGGAGTTTCCCTCTGTCACCCAGGCTGGAGTGCAATGGCGCGATCTCAGCTCACTGCAACCTCCACCTCCCAGGTTCAAGCGATTCTCCTGCCTCAGCCTCTTGGGTAGCTGGGATTACAGGTGCCCGCCACCACGCCCGATTAATTTTTGTATTTTTGGTAGAGATGGGGTTTCACTATGTTGGCTGGGCAGGTCTCAAACTCCTGACCTCAGGTAATCCACCTGCCTCGGCCTCTGAAAGTGCTGGGATTACAGGTGTGAGCCACTGCGTCCGACCTGAAGGCCCCTGAATTTTTAACTTATGCTACACTGGTTTCTCCCAGGATGCCTCATTCAGAGGGCTTTGTCCAGCTTTTGTGTAGTTGGGTGTCTAGCCAGGCCCCAAAGATCTAGAAATGAAAAAGCCCAGGCTAAAATTCAGAAGGCCAGAGGGACTTAAATATCTCTAAAGCAAACTCAGATAGCACTGAAAGGAAACTCCTTCCTATGCCCTGTATGCTTGGGCACCACGGTAGTGACACCGATAACTTTTTTTTTTTTTTTTTGAGATGGAATTTCACTCTTTTTGCCCAGGCTGGAGTGTAATGGCGCGATCTTCAGCTCACTACAAACACTACCTCTTAGGTTCAAGTGATTCTCCTGCCTCAGCCTCCCGAGTAGCTGGGATTACAGGCACACACCACCACGCCTAGCTAATTTTGTATTTTTAATAGAGACAGGGTATCACCATGTTGGCCAGGCTGGTCTTGAACTCCTGACCTCAGGTGATCTGCCCGCCTTGGCCTCCCAAAGTGCTGGGATTACAGGCATGAGCCACCGCACCCGGCCGACACTGATAACTTTTTGCCAGCCCTTCTTGCGGTTTTCATGGCAGGATGTTAACATCAGCTTATCTGCAGGGCCAGGAACTGGTATACACCAAAAGCAAGGTGACAGTCATATTTTTCCAACTCTGGTCCATGCTAAAGATGACGCTGAGCTTTCTGGGGATTGAGAAACAGAACATGTGTTTCCCAGCACTAACAGTCAGCTTTGCAGACTGTTCACTTGTCTGTCTTCCACCAGACTGCATTCCCCTTGAGGGCAGGGACTGGGCCTGACCAGTCTGTATATTGAGTCTACATATGAGCAGCATAGAACATGGCCGTGGGACACAGCAGGCATTCAATAAATACTTGAACAAGTAGGACCCTAGTCTTCTGTGGACCCCCAATACTCACTGTGCGTGGAAATCCACAACCACTGGTGTCTCACTGTTGACCACTCGGTCTTGAAAGTCAGGTCCATCCTGGATATTAAAGGTTGTCAAGGAGATCCTCGTGGTGTATATTGTCCGGGCTGGGTTGGGTGTTACAGTCAGGCCACCAGGACTGCATTGTGGGGTCTGCAGGGCTCTGGAAGTGAGGGGTGGCCACTGACCCTGAGAGGGCTTCCTGGAGATGACAGAGGCCAGGAACCTCCTCAGAAGAAGTCGCTGAGCCATCTGTGAGGGAAAGAGGCAGAAGAACTGGGGCACACAAAAGGAAGTCGACACACTAGAAAAAGATTTGGGGAGTACTCAGGGCTCAGGAAGAGGCAGAGTTGGAAGCAAAATGCAAGGAAATCATATGTAAGATTTGTAGCGTGGAAGTGAGGAAGCAATGAGAATCAAAGGGAAGGAACAGCTAGGCAAACCAGAAGGACAGGAAAACTGGCTTCACAACCAAAAAGAAATCGGGATTTAGATTATAACGGAAGAATGGGAGGAAGAAACCAACAGATTTAATAATGTATGTAAGGACCAAGTACCTTACACACATTATTGGTCTTCCTACAGCAACTTCCAGGAAGTTGCTATTGTACTGCCCACACTGCGAGTAAGGGAAGGAATACGAGGCTCAAGTAAGTTAAGTGACATGCCCAAAGTAACCCCGCTATTAAATGACAGCCAACACTGGAACCCAGGGTCGTCTGAAAAGATGAAACGCAACAATTCAAGGAGGAACTAAGAGTGTGAGAGGAACCAAAAACGAAGAGACATGTACTGGAGGGAACCAATAAAGAAGGGACATGTGTGGAGGGAACTGGGAAAAATCGGACATCACCAGGGACCCTGGCTCTCCGGCGAGCTAGATCCCCCCGCCCGCCCGGCCGCCAGCCTGCGCAGGAACGCGCTCGCGGCATGCCTCAGCCGCGACACCACCTCGAGCCACCCCCACAGGGCTCCTACCTCCCTGCAATGCGAGCGGAGGGATGCACAGCCTAGCCCTCCCTGCCTGTCAAGGGCACGCCTGTCGTCACTTCCTCGGGGGGGGACGTACATAACGTCACTTCCGGGTACAGGCAGGCGGAAGAGCGTCCCTCTCCAATTTTTTTTTTTTTTTTTTTTTTTTTTGAGCCAGAGTCTCGCTCTGTTGCCAGGCTGGGGTGCAGTGGCGCGATCTCGGCTCACTGCAACCTCCGCCTTCCGGGTTCAAGCGATTCTCCTGCCTCAGCCTCCCGACTAGAGGCGCGCGCCACCACGCCCAGCTAATTTTTTTATTTTTAGTAGAGACGGGGTTTCACCACGTTGGCCAGGACGGTCTCGATCTTTTGACCTCGTGATCCGCCCGCCTCGGCTTCTCAGAGGGTTGTGATTACGGGCGTGAGCCACAGCGCCCATCTGTCCCTCTCCAATTTGAGGGGCGTCTGGGATTTTCCGCCAATGGGAATGGCGGGCTGAGGCACAGTTGAAGGGGCGGGGCCTCAGCTACGGACCGGAAGCAATGGGCAGGCCGTCGGGGAACGGATTGGAAGAGGCGGGCGGGCCCTGGTCTGGGCGAAGGCGGGGGCGGGGCGGGGCGGAAACGGAAGGGGTGGGCGGGCCCTAGAGGAGGGACCGGAAGAGGAGGTGATGGAGCAGGGGTAGCAATGGAGGGTACTTAAGGGAGAAAAGGCAGTTGAGAAGTCCCCGTGGTTTTGGATTTTGCAAACTCTTGTTGCTTTATTTTATTTACATATATTTATTTATTAATGACAGAGTCTCGCTCTGTCTCCCAGGCTACAGTGCAGTGGCGTGATCTCCGCTCACTGCAACATCCAAATCCCGGGTTCAAGTGATTTTCCTGCCTCAGCCTCCCAGGTAGCTGGGATTACAGGCGCGCGCCACCACGCCGGGCTGATTTTTGTATTTTTAGTAGAGACGGAGTTTCGCCATGTTGGCCAGGCTGGTCTGGAACTCCTGAGCTCAAGTGATCCGCCCGCTTCAGCCTCCCAAAGTGCTGGGATTACAGGCGTGAGCCACCTTGCCTGGCCTCCTGTTTATAACTGGCGCTGTCCACTTCCTACAGATGTTGACAGGTTCTGTTTCTCCATTTAATATGTAAAGCTAAGCTCCTCAAAGGCATGATGCCCTTTATATGTAAAAGAACTCAACCGGGAGTTTAGGGGCCATCCTTTAAGTGGCCCTCGTCTGTGTCCGCCTAAAGGAAAACAAATGAAAACTGAGGCGAGCCTAATTTAAGCAGGGAGTTTTTTTGGGTCAAGTTCGAAGACTGCAACTCGGAGCAGAGATTCAAGTTGTCCTGAATATACACTCGGATTAGCAGCAGCTGAAAGAGCGTTTTTAAAAGAACAGGCAGTTTCCAAATTGTTGATCAAAGTTTTTTTTTTTTTTTTTTTTTTTTTTGAGACAGAGTCTCGCTCTTGTTGCCCAGGCTGGAGTGCAGTGGCGCGATCTCGGCTCACTGCAACCTCTGCCTCCTGGGTTCAAGGGATTCTTCTCCCTCTGCCTCCCCAGTAGCTGGGACTACAGGCGTGCCTCACCACGCCTAGCTAATTTTTATATTTTTAGTAGAGACGGAGTTTCACCATGTTGGCTAGGATGGTCTCGATCTATTGACCTCATGATCTGCCCACCTGGGCCTCCCAAAGTGCTGGAATTACAGGCGTGAGCCACTGCACCCAGCCTTTTTTTTTTTTTTTTTGAGACGGAGTCTTGCTCTGTAGCTAGGCTGGAGTGCAGTGGCATGATCTTGGCTCACCGCAACCTCCACCTCCAGGGTTCAAGGGATTCTCCTGCCTCAGCCCCCCAAGTACTTGGGATTACAGGCGAGCACCACCACACCTGGCTAATTTTTTATATTTTTGGTACAGAAATTTTATATTTCACCATGTTGGCCAGGCTGGTCTCGAACTCCTGACCTTAAGTTATCGCTCGCCTCGGCTTCCCAAAGTGCTGGGATAACAGGCGTGAGCCACCGCGCCTGGCCGCCCTGCCCATTTTTGTATCGGTTTTCTGTGTCTCTAGCACTTTCTTTTCCACAGCCACCTATCAATCCTATTCAGCACTTCCACAGTATTTTCTAGAGAGCCAATTTTCCTGCCTAATTCACATTCTGAATTTCACAGGCGGACCAGTCCTGTTTGTCCTTATGCCATAGTCACTTCACCCTGATCGGCCTCAGGCTTCTCATCTGAGCAATGGGAAGAATGCCTTTCTCATAGCTGGGCTGAGGGTTGCAGTAGAGACAGAATCCACATCATTGCTGCCTGATGACTCCTGCAGGGAAAGCCTGAGAGACACAGAGAAGGCTGAGCTCTCGGCGCGCTACAAAAGGGCTCTCAGCTACATGGTGGCTCCTCTGTCCAGCTAGAGCTGAGCTGGCCTGGGTCTGGCTTAGTCACAAGCAGGCTCAGGGCACAGCTGAGAGGCAAAGGGAAGGAAGCCAGGACTGGCAGCCTGGGCTAAGGGTAAAACTTCTACCTCCTACCAATATTTATTGCAGTGTTTTTCAAACTGCAGGATATGGACGTCAGTGGGTTTGCAAAATTAATTTAGTGGGTGGTGATCTGCTTTTTAAAAAAACAAACATGGTGCCAGGCGTGGTGGCTCACACCTGTAATCCCAGCACTTTGGGAGGCCAAGGCGGGCAGTTCACTTGAGGTCAGGAGTTCGAGACCAGCCTGGCCAACATGGTGAAACCCCATCTCTACTAAAAATACAAAAATTAGCCAAGCGTGGTGGTACACGCCTGTAGCCCCAGCTACTCGGGAGGCTGGGCAGGAGAATGGCGTGAACCCGGGAGGCGGAGCTTGCAGTGAGCCGAGATAGTGCCACTGCACTCTGGCCTGGGCGAAAGAGCAAGACTCTGTCTCAAAAAAAAAAAAAAAAAAAATAGCTCTAAGGTCTTGCACTAACCGGTATGACCTGTCTGGCGTCTTTACAGGCAGTATTGGAATGTTATAGGGAGACATACAGGGTTTAAGAAATCCATCACGGAGAAGACCTTCAATTATCAATTATAGGTTTTAAATTTACCTCGGCTTTGAAAGGAATAGGATACATTGCTTTCTCTTTACTACTTCCCCAGGGGTTTGTAATTTAACATGAAACTGAGTAATCTGTAACTTTCCTCGATTCTCGTCTTTTGACCATACCTTGGGATGAATGAGTTCTTTGTCTGTGGTGGGGAGCAAGTTTAGGGAGGGGAGGAATCTTCCCTGATTAATATAGAGGCCTAAGCCAAATTTTAGCATTAAATCTCTCTAATAGGTTTGTTCCTGCCTCTGGAATAAACAGAAATTTAATATTAGCTGATTTGCTTTTATATATGACTTTTGTTCTTTTTCCCATTTGGGACATTTTCTTTTGAAGTGACCTATTTTTAATCTGAAACATTTATTTTGTCCTCTTTCTCTCCCTTTGCCTCTCCCTCTCTGCCTCTTTTTCTCTCTCACTCTTTCTCTTTGCCTCTCTCTCTGCCTCTCTCTTCCTCTTTGACTCTCTCCCTTTGCCTTTCTCTCTGCCTCTCTCTTTCCCTTTTTGCCTGTCTCTCTCTCTTTGACTCTGTCTGTTCTGTCAGTCTTTCTCTCTCCTCTAAGTTTTTTTTTTCTTTACTTTTGAGTCTCCTGGCTTTACTCTTTCATACTCTATATATTGCCTGGAGAGTGGGGGTCTAGGTTCTTTTTTTTTTTTTTTTTTTTTTTTTGAGACGGAGTCTCGCTCTGTCGCCCAGGCTGGAGTGTAGTGGCGCGATCTTGGCTCACTGCAACCTCCGCCTCCTGGGTTCACGCCATTCTCCTGCCTCAGCCTCCCGAGTAGCTGGGACTACAGGCGCCCACCACCATGCCCGGCTGCTTTTTTTTAGTAGAGACGGGGTTTCACCGTGTTAGCCAGGATGGTCTTGGTCTCCTGACCTCGTGATCCGCTCGCCTTGGCCTCCCAAAGTGCTGGGATTACAGGCGTGAGCCGCCGCGCCCAGCCCTCAGTCTAGGTTCTTTATAGGTTCTGGCCCCCTGGGTACTTTGTTGTATGGTAGACAGCAGAATTTTTGCCTTCTGCTTTTGTTTTTCATCATCTTTTCTTATATATACCTTTTGGGCTTCTCTTAGAAGCTCTTCTATAGGTTTATCTTTCCAGTTCTCTATCTTTTGTAATTTCTTGTTAATATCTGGCCAACTGTTAGTGACAAAATGAAGTTTTAACATTCCCTGCCCAAGAGGATCCTTGAGACCTAGACCAGTGTATTTTCTCATTTGTTCCTTTAATCTATCTAAAAATTCTATAGGCCCTTCATCTTTCCCTTGCTGTATATCAAATATTCGGGTAAGATACTGAGTTCGGGGTACCAATTTTTTTTTTTTTTTTGAGATGGAGCCTTGCTCTGTTGCTCAGGCTAGAGTGCTGGAGTGCAGTGGCGTGATCTCGGCTCACTGCAAGCTCCGCCTTCTGGGTTCACGCCATTCTCCTGCCTCAGCCTCCTGAGTAGCTGGGACTAAAGGCGCCTGCCACTATGCCCAGCTAATTTTTTTGTATTTTTTAGTAGAGACGGGGTTTCACTGTGTTGGCCAGGATGGTCTCGATCTCCTGACCTTGTGATCTGCCTGCCTCGGCCTCCCAAAGTGCTGGGATTACAGGCGTGAGCCACTGCGCCCAGCCTCGGGGTACTGATGCTTTAATCCCCTTTATTATCAATTCCTTAAGGTCCTGCATATTTTCTCGGTGGGCTGCGTTGTTATTGTCCCACTGGGGGTCTTGGGTGGGAGTTTTTTGATCTGCTGTAGGAACGTTTTGGCCAGGAGGGTGTTCGTGTTCCTAGGCTCCCATAGCAGCTCTATGGATCATGTCTCTTTCTTCCCCCGAGAAGAGGGGAAAGGGAAATTCTGAATATCTTTTTTACATTGCTCTATCTCACGTTGAAGTCCTTTAAGGGAAAGGTACTTAGGTCGGTAGTGAGTGGGCTCTTGGGACGATTCTCAAGAGGCAGGGTTGTAAGAAAGGGGACATCAGAGATAGGAGAAGGGTCTGGGACAGCAGCTGCTTTTGTTTTTGGTCCTTTCATTATCCTTCTAACATTTTAACATTAGGCCTGGGGGAATATTACTGTTGCTAGCTTTCTCCTTTTTATCTCTTACCTTACTTGGGGCATTTCCCATCTTGGGTCCTGGTTAAGCTCAATCTCCCCTGTTGGAGATGTCTCGCCTATCCTTTAGCCCCACCTGCTGGAGGCTCCTTGCATTCATGCACACTTTCAACCCCCAGAATATCCTGACCACCAAGGAAATACTTTGTCACCCCTGCGATGTTTCTTAGCTTGGTCTCTGCACACTTACTTGGTCGCTGTGGTACATGAGGATCCTTTCCCCCAGGTCGCCAGCCCGTTTCTTTCTGCCTTGCTGAGAGTATAGGTTTATTCGTCACACTGGTTGGTCTCGATTCCTTACCCCTGTGGCCACCGCAACAAGGCAGTGGGACGTGCCTCCTCATGGGAGAGGTCTAGACCCTCCTCAGAGGAGGATGGGAATCCCAAATGAGACCCCAAATTTGTTAGAAATAAATTTTCAGTGCCACAAAAGAAATAGCACTCAAACATACATTTTCTCAGCAAGGCAATTTTACTTCTATACAAGAGTGCGTCTCATGGATGGTGCAATGGCGAGAGCACACCGGAACAAGGGAGGGGAATGGGTTCTTATCCCTGATGCAGGTACCCCCTACTGCTGTGTTGTTCCCCTATGGGCTAGGGTTGGACCGCACAATCTAAGCTAATTCTGACTGGCTATTTTAAAGAGAGCAGGGGTATAAGCCAGAGTGGTGGGGTGAGAAGTTTAGACAGGAAAGATGGTTACGGACCAGGTGACTAAAGGTGACTCAGGTCAGAGCAGGTGACAGAGGCTAGGAGGGGATTGTTTACTGAAACTAGGGGCAAGGAGACATAAAGAATGAGGAAATTAAAAGTTAAAATGAAGAACAAAGAACAGGTGAGCTGAACATACTGATACATTGGTTCTTTGGAGAGGATCTCAGAACTCAATGTACTTAACAAATTACAGGCTAAAACCTTTGAAGAAGAATTTATGATATCCTACATTATCATGGGGTAAACAATTCGTCCCTGACAGAATAAGGCTACTGGAGTTCTCTTCTTGTAACTCTGGGAAGGACTAGAGGGAACTGTGTCTGCAGTGGGGCCAGGTAGTTAAAAAGTCTGGACTGGGCCGAGCGTGGTGGCTCATGCCTGTAATCCCAACACTTTAGGAGGCCAAGACAGGTGGATCACCTGAGGTCAGGAGTTCGAGACCAGCCTGGCCAATGTGGTGAAACCCTGTCTCTACTAAAAATACAAAAATTAGCTGGGCGTGGTGGCAGGCGCTTGTAATCCCAGCTACTTGGGAGGTTGAGGGAAGAGAATTGTTTAGACCCGGGAGGCAGAAGTTGCAGTGAGCCGACATCGTGCCATTGCACTCCAGCCTGGGTGACAAGAGCGAAATCCATTGCAAAAAAAAAAAAAAAGAAAAAGAAAAAGTCTGGACCAAGCCAAGAGGGGAAGAGGACGTCCCCATGAAAGAGCTTTGGATCCAGAAAGCCCGGGTTCTTGGAATTCTTTTTCTCTTTTCACTTTTGTTGTAGCATACTTTGTTCTTTTTTATTTTTTATTTTTTTGAGATGGGGTGTGGGGGCTTTACTGTGGGTCTTGCTTTGTCACCTAGGCTGGAGTACAGTGGCTCGGTCTCTGCTCACTGCAACCTCCACCTCCCAGGTTCAAGCAATTCTCCTGCCTCAGCTTCCCAAGTAGCTGGGATGACAGGCATGCTCCACCATGCCCAGCTAATTTTTTTTACCGTTAGTAGAGACAAGGTTTTGCTATGTTGGCCAGGCTGGTCTCGAATTCCTGAGCTCAGGTGATCGGCCCACTTTGGCCTCCCAAAGTGCTGGGATTACAGGTGTAAGCAACTGTACCCAGCGCATGTTTTATTTTAATTTAATTTAATTAACTTATTTTTTGAGATGGAGTTTCCCTCTTGTTACCTAGGCTGGAGTGCAATGGCGCAATCTCGGCTCACTGCAACCTCTGCCTCCCGGGTTTAAGTGATTCTCCTGCCTCAGCCTCTCCAGTAGCTGGGATTATAGACATGTGCTACCACGCCTGGCTAGTTTTGTATTTTTAGTAGAGATAGGGTTTCTCCATGTTGGTCAGGCTGGTCTCAAACTCCTGACCTCAGGTGATCCACCTGCCTGGGCCTCCCAGAGTGCTGGGATTGTCCTTGGAATTCTGAGTGGATACATGAAGAGTTAGTAAGAACCAGTGAAAAAGCAATCACTTATGATCCTGGGCTTTGAAAAATCACTGTGATTATCTTATGCACTTACAAATGAGACTAAGACGCCTGATGGGAAAGTGCAGATTGCTGGTGAGGAAGGGCAATGAAGAAGAGACTAGGAACCAAATTCATCATCATTATCACACAAAGGCATTTGGAAATGTCACCTTACACATGGTGAGCACATATGGGTGCCAGCCCGAGACAGCAGGATAAGTTTCACAAAACTTGACCAGGCAGGTTAGAAGCAAGGCATGGTTCAGGATGGCAGAGGGCAGGGAGACAGAAGGGAGTAGGATGGGAGAGAAGAGCCAGCTGGAAGATGAGTCAGGGGGTGCAACTGGGGAGAGCAGCTCTGAATCCTGCTTCTCAGTGAGAAAGTTGCTAAGATGGCTTTGCAGGGAGCTGTCCTATCGCTGCTCGAGATCAGCCTGCTGGGCCTATGATGATAAGCAGGGCTGACCCTCTTGGGCTCTGTAGCTAAGCCCAAACCCTGCTGAAAATGGGGCGGGGAGGTTGAGGCAGTGTGTGGCAAGTGACACAGACGGGGACTCCCAGCTGGGGGTCCCTGGAATTACTTGACATCCCACAGCTGGTGTCTTCAGCAGTCATCTGGGGCAACAATCCCACCTGCCCATTGTGGTTGTTGAGGATATCAGAGCTTTTGTTTTAAAGCGCTTGCCACAAACTCTTAAGATGCGGATGGGTTTCCCCTGTGAAGCACTCCACAGGCGGGATGCAGGCCCATCTGAGGAGGGGCTTGGAAGGAAGAGGAGCACTTGAGACGGGGCAGAACTGGGCTGGCCTGGGGCTCAGCGACAGCTCCATTGCAGACAAACTGGGCTGGGGAAGGCAGCTCCCACCTGGCAGAGGATGCCCTTCTGCCCCCTGACAGGAGGGAGGAGACCACCGCATCCCCGACTTTCAGCCCTCACGTGCCATCTGGTGGCTTTGCTGCAGACACTGCCATGATCTGAGTGGTCTTTGGCAATCACGCATTGGCGGGAGTGTGAGGTTGCGGGGAAAGAGGGACTGACCATGGGCCTAGGTGGGGAGGCCTGGCCACTGTGCCCACAGCTTAGGAAGGGACAGTCAGAGCTCCTCTTTGTTGCTATCGACGGACTGAGCCAGAGGCCCTGGAGCCAGGGGGGAACCTAGTGGCTCTTGGTCGCCAAGCTGCTGGCTGCTGTCCTCCAGGCGCCTGCCTGTGGGGGCATAGTCCCGCAGGAGCCTGCTCTCCACTCTGTGCTGCCAAAGGCTCTCGGTACTCACGAGTCCCTGCATCCTCAGGTACCCCTGCTGGCAAAAGGGTGGCAACTTCTGGCGCGTGAGGGCGAACAGGAAGCAGGACTCTACACAAAAGCAAAATGAGGAGAATGAGCCAGGCTGGGACATGTGGGGAGGGGTGCAGAAAGGGGAGCTGCCAATGCCAGGTGTGGGGGCTTCACTGCAGGCCTTGCCTGGTATCTTCCATCCCTTGAAACTGGGAGCTGACCTTTCTGGGCATCTCACGTCCAACCTGAGTAGGTCATGAATCATGACCCTCCACGAGGCTCCAGGGCAGGGGGCTGCCTTGACACTCTGGAAGAACAAGGCTCCAAAATAAAAGCAAACCACAGCAATGCCTCAGCTCCCAGACATCAGGGCTGAGCACCGGGCTCTGCAGGCAACCACACTGGGGGCGGGGCTCCGACCTTCATGAGCAGACCCTCGGCCTGGTGCGGCTGGGAACTCAGTGGTCAGTTCCACTGTGAGCTCAGATCTGCCTGCAAAGACGCAGTCCCTCAACAACATTTGAGTTGCAAATACCATGTGCAAAGTTCTGATCTAAACAGTGTGGGGGATAAAGAAAAACGGGTATATCCTCATCTGTCCCACAACAGAAAGCTGGTGCATGAATCAAATTTGGTCAATCATAAGATAGCTGTGGATACTTATCATGTAGAAATATGAAGAAACGGCCGGGCGTGGTGGCTCACGCCTTAATCCGACAACTCTGGGAGGCCGAGGCCGGTGGATCGCCTGAGGTTAGGACTTCGAGACCAGCCTGGCCAACATAATGAGAAAGAAACCCCGTCTCTAGTAAAAATACAAAAATTAGCCAGGCGTAGTGACAAACACCTGTAATCCCAGCTACTCGGGAGGCTGAGGCAGGAGAATCACTCGAATCCAGGAGGCGGACGTTGCAGTGAGCCAAGATCGTGCCACTGCACTCCAGCCTGGGTGACAGAGACTCTGTCTCGAAAAAAAAAAGAAAGAAAAAGAAATATGAAGAAACAACCAAAAGAAGCCATGCAAAGAGAGAAGCTACTGAAAGGAACAACCGCTAGGTCTGGGAGTTCCTCGTGGGAATGAGAATGAAGGTAGGGAAAGCGGGTGACATAGTTTGGGTCTGTGTCCCCGCCCAAATCTCATGTTGAAATGCAATCTCTAATGCTGGAGGTGGGGCTGCTGGGAGGTGACTGCATCACAGGAGTGGTTTCTTTTTCTTTTTTTTTCTTGAGGCAGAGTCTCCCTCTGTTGCCCAGGCAGGCTGGAGTACAGTGGCACGATCCCAGCTCACTACAACCTCTGCCTTCTGGGTTCAAGTGATTCTCCTGCCTCAGCCTCCCCAGTAGCTGAGACTACAGGTGCCCGCCACCACGCTCAGCTAATTTTTGTGTTTTTTAAGTAGGGAGAGGGTTTCACCATGTTGGCCTGGCTTGTCTTGAACTCCTGACCTCAAGCTATCTGCCTTTCTCGGCCTCCCAAAGTGCTGGGATTACAGGCGTGATCCAGCATCCAGAAATAGATGCTGCCATGCGTCCATACAGCCTGCAGAACTGTGAGCCAATTAAACCTGTTTCTTTATAAATTACAGTCTCAGGTATTTCTTTATAGCAATGTGAGAACAGACTAATACAGTGAGAAAAAGTCATTTAGCCAAGTACTTATAAGACTTTAAACAAACAGAAGAGCTGACACAGATATGGGCTCAGCCTTCTGAGGGAGTTAGAGACAAGGGCAGACAGAGTGTCAGGAATGGGCTGGAGTCCTTCTGTAACTCTGAGCGAGCCTTCTTGCCTCCCTGAGCCCCTCTATCTCAAGTGAAAAATGGGCACAGCACAAAGGATGTCGTGAGGCTTCCATGGGTGACCAGGCTGAAAGGTGCTCCAGAAATATGACTTCCTGTTTATTTCTGACTCTTAGCATGGAGGCCCCTGGGAGGCCAGGCCATGGCAAGCCTCTCCAAGCGGGTAAGAGAGCAGATGAGGAAGAGGACAGCGGGAAGACTGGGAGGGCAGCAAGGTGGCTGTTTGGCAGGCACCACCTTCTGACAACATCATCCCTTCTGCAGGGGGCTCAGATGCTCAGCAGAATCTGGGGCCAGCACTAACAGCTGCACATCAGCTACAGTAACAGAGGGACGGCTGCCACTATGCCAGCTGGCCGCCTGCTGGGCGGATTCTCTCCAGTCCAAGGCAGCAGCACACAGTGGCCTGTACAGTCAAACAGTGTCTAGAAAGTGGGAGACAGGAGGCTAAAGGGCCTGGGACAATGCATTGGTGGGACCCACAACTCAGGGTGGGAATTCACTCCCTCACACACCCTGGCATTTTTGTTGTTGTTGGTTTTGAGATGGAGTCTCGCTCTGTTGCCCAGGCTGGAGTGCAGTGGCATGATCTCGGGTCACTGCAACATCCGCCTTCCGGGTTCAAGCGATTCTCCTGCCTCAGCCTCCCGAGTAGGTAGCTGGGATTACAGGCACCCACCACTGCCCCCAGCTAATTTTTCTACTTTTAGTAGAAATGGGGTTTCACCATGTTGGCCAGGGCTGGTCTCGAACTCCTGACCTCAGGTGATCCACCCACCTCGGCCTCCCAAAGTGTTGAGATTACAGGCGTGAGCCACTGCACCTGGCCTAAAAGTGTATTTCTTGAGAAGGTGTGCATTTGCTTCTGTGATTTCTATAGCTCAATGATCTCATGAAGTTTGGCCCCAAATTTACATAAGCAGGGCCTACTGGTTGAATATTTTCAGAGATTTTTCTCTCCCACTCTATCTAGGGCCAAAACCATGCATGTCATCTATCTCCTCCTTTGGAGGGTTTTGGCTCCCAGCTTCCCTACTGAGATCCAAGCTTTATTGGAGTGTCTCTAAACAGGCCTCCCATCCTGCTCCAGCTCTGTCTTCCCACCCATACCTGGCCCTGGCGCCTTCCCATGGCGCCTGGCCCTGCTAATCCTTTTGAAAAGACATATTATCAGCTGGGTGCGGTGGCTCACACTTGTAATCCCAACACTTCAGCAGGCTGAGGCAGGCGGATCACGAGGTCAGTTCGAGACCAGCCTGGCCAATATGGTGAAACCCCATCTCTACTAAAAAATAAAAAAATTAGTTGGGCATGGTGGCATGTGCCTGTAGTCCCAGCTTCTTGGGAGGCTGAGGCAGGAGAATCGCTTGAACCCGGGAGGCGGAGGTTGTAGTGAGCTGAGATTGCGCCACTACACTCCAGCCTGGGCAACAGAGCGAGACTCCATCTCAAAAAAAAAAAAAAGAAGACATATTATCCATTATTTTTAGGTGAGTTGTAATTTAACCCACGGCATTGTCGGGAACAGTAGTCTGGGGTTTGGATTTCCAGATATGGGTCCTGAAACTCCACGGGTCTTGGGTCTCTGTGACCTTTCTTCAACCTGGAGCTCAGACCCTTTGTCTTTCTGGGAGCTTAAGTTACCTGCATAGAAGCTTCGCAAATCGGTGTCCAAACAGTTCTCCAGGAAGCGCCTCAGAGGTAGGATGTGCCCGATCGGGGCAGTCCAGTCTGTTAAGAAGTCTTCCACGATGTGATGGATGGCCGTGGGCCGAGGCAGGGGCCAGTGTGCAGGGCGGAACCTCACCTCCTGTTCTGTGGGGAGGAGAGAGGGGGCCATGTCAGAGCTGTGAGGCTGGGCTTCCCCTCCTCGGGCCGACACAGCACGGATCCCACACAGCCCAAACACTTCCCTCGTTCACTCGTGCTCGGCTTTCCCGACAGCCTCCTATGCTGGGCTGTGGTCAGACTGTTCAAGAGCCACCTGCAGATATTTGAAAGGCTGCCATGAGGAAGAGGAACTAGGCTTTTCCCTTGTGGTTTCGGAAGGCAGTGCTGAAGCTAACAACGTGAGGCTGGCGTTTCCCTAAGACTCACATGGACTGAGATCTACTGTGGCTGCTTTTTATTTTGTATTATTATTTGTTGGAGACAGTCTCGCTCTATTGCCCAGGCTGTCATGCAGTGGCACAATTTAGGCTCACCGCAACCTCTACCTCCTGGGTTCAAGCGATTCTTGTGCCTCTGCCTCCAGAGTAGCTGGGATTACAGGTGCCCGCCACCACACCGAGCTCATATTTTACATTTTTCGTAGAGATGGGGTTTCTAGTCTCTACCATGTTGGCCAGGCTGGTCTCAAACTCCTGACCTCAGGTGACCCACCCGCCTCAGCCTCCCAAAGTGCTGGGATTACAGGCATGAGCCACTGCGCCTGGCTGTGGCTGCTTTCAAACTGGCCTTTCTCTGAGAAGACTCAGATAGAGGCGAGGGGTCTCAGCACTCATCTAGTTCAGCTTCTCCCTGGTGTGGGCTCCCTTCTGTGGTGTTCCAGTCAGATGGCCATCGAGTCAAGACTTGGCCGTCGCTATTCTGGGAAACCTGAATTTGGAGGTGACCAATTCCCCCACTGAACAGCTTTAACTCTTAGTGCCTCCTTTTTCTTTTTTTTTGAGACAGAGTCTCGCTCTGTCTCCCAGGCTAGAGTGCAGTGGCACAATCTTGGCTCACTGCAGCCTCTGCCTCCTGGGTTCAAGCGATTCTCCTGCCTCAGCCTCCCTAGTAGCTGGGACTACAGGCGCACGCCACCACGCTGGCTAATTTTTGTATTTTTATTAGAGACGGGGTTTCACTATGTCGGCCAGGATGGTCTCGACCTCCTGACCTCGTGATCCGCCCGCCTCGGCCTCCCAAAATGCTGGGATTACAGGCGTGAGCGACCGCGCCCGGCCTTTTTGTTTGTTTGTTTGTTTTTTTTGAGACAGAGTCTTGCTCTGTAGCCCAGGCTGGAGTGCAGTGGTACAATCTCGGCTCACTGCAACCTCTGCCTCCCGGATCCCGGTTCAAGCAATTCTCCTGCCTCAGCCTCCTGAATAGCTGGGATTACAGGCATGTGCCACCATGCCCAGCTAATTTTTGCATTTTTTTCATGTTTTTTTAGAGATGGGGTTTCACCATTTTGGCCAGGCTGGTCTTGAACTCCTGACCTTATAATCCGCTTGCCTTGGTCTCTCAAAGTGCTGGGATTACAGTCATGAGCCACCATGCCCAGCCTCTTAGTGCCTCCTTATACTGACCACAGACCTGCACCCGTCACTGCTACCTGCTGACACGACTTCTGCCTTTGGGAACAACCCCTGTTTAAACCACCCTCTTCTACCTGACTGCCCTTCAAGCTCTGAAGCAGGGGGTGCGTTCCCGAGGTTGTTCACTTATTGGTAGCTACTCTGTGCCTGCAGTGGGCTGGCATTCTGTGTACACTGTCAGGTTTAACCTCATGGAACCCTACAAGAAAGGTACTGTTGTAATCCCCATTTTACAGAGGGGAGGTTGAGGCTCAGAGAGGTTAAGTAATGGTCCAAGGTCACACAGTGACAAAATGACAGGCCTAGGGATTTTGCCCAGTTTCTCTGTACTGTGTTAACCAGCTCCAGTTCCCTCTACTCTTCAGACCCCTCCCGCCCCACCACAGTCAGCCGCCTCTGGAGACCTGCAGCAGGGCCGTGTCCCTCTTACTACACAGTGCCTGGCGGAGAGCACGACACCCCCCGCATGGCCTGTGCCAGTCACGGTATGTGTCAGAATCTGGAAGCATCGTTCATCATTCTCGGACCTTCTGCCCAAGTGGTCTCTAGGCAGAGTCCCGCAGCCATCCCACCTGTCAGCTGAGCATGTGTGTGAAGGTTTCAGGGTGGGTGACAACCTTGCAGACGGTGAGGTCTGAGGAGCCCACAGGTTGGGGAAGGGCAGAGACCTGCTCACCGGTGGGGAGGTATCTATAGTAGTAGATGACAGGATGAAGAAAGTTAGACTGCCAGGCATCTTCTGTGTGCCCCACAGACCGGTCATCAAAGAAGACGTCCTTGTCGGGGCCAGAGAAATTTCTGCCATATTCCATGTTGATGACGAAGAGCCCGTGCTTTGCCTTCCTCCCTGTGAGTGTCTCCAGCTGGGCCAGCATCTGTATGGGGAACTCCTCCAGGTACTCAAAGGCCGTGGAATTCCTGGGAGAACAGCAACGCGGGGGAGGCCCTCAGTGCTGTGGCAGAGGTGAGGGGTGCAGCCCGGGGGTGAGCATGTGTGTGTGCGTGTGTATCTCCCCCTCTAAGGAGCGTCAATCAAGCAGCACACCCCTCACTTAACATTACTTTTTCAGCTCAGCTCTCACGCACATGTGGGGTAGAGACCAGAAAATTCCATGTAACCTGAATGGGATATCTGGGGAAAGAGTGTCCCAGGCAGAGAGAACAGTCAGGAAAAAGCCCTGAGGAGTATGTGAGCACTTTGTGTTCAAGGAACAGAAGAGGCCGACGTGGCTGAGGGGAGTGAACAGCAGGCAGAGGGCAGGAGAGGGGGCCGGAGGCCTTGAGAGGTCAAGGAGGGCTGCGCCTCCCATGACGAGACGTGAGGAGTCGTCTGGCCCGAGAGGTGACACTGCTGGTTGCTTGGGAGGACTGAGCAGAGCTGGGATCAGCATGCCTCAGGTTTCTAAGGACCACTCTGGTTACTGTGCTGAGAACAGACGCCAGGCCAAGTGGGGCGGCTGTTGTATGGGTGCAGGTGATACAGCCTGGTGATCGGGACCGAGGTGGTGGTGGTAGAGCAGGTGAGAGCTGGTTGGGCTCCAGACATCATCTGAAGGCAGAGGTGACAAGACTTGCCCATGGTTTGCATGTGGGGTGTTGAGACAGGGGTGCCAGGCGTGCTGACTCACGCCTGTAATCTCAGCACTTTGGGAGACCAAGGCGGGTGGATCACCTGAGGTCAGGAGTTTGAGACCAGCCTAGCCAACATGGTGAAACCTAGTCTCTACTAAAAATACAAAATTAGCCAGGTGTGGTGGCATGGGCCTGTAATCCCAGCTACTCGGGAGGCTGAGACACGAGAATCGCTTGAACCTGGGAGGTGGGCTGCAGTGAGCCAAGATCGCACCACTGCACTCCAGCCTGGGCAAGACATAGTGAGACTCTGAGTCAAAAAAAAAAATTAGCCAGGCATGGTGGTGGGTGCCTGTAATCCCAGCTACTTAGGAGGCTGAGGCAGGAGAAGTGCTTGAACCCAGGAGGCAGATGTTGCAGCGAGCAGAGATCGCACCACTGCACTCCAGCCTGGATGACAGAGCGAGACTGTCTCAAGAAAAAAAAAAGAGGGGCAGGGGCATGGAGGGTGATGCGAGGGTTTTGTGCAGAAAGCGGCTGCACTACCTGCATGTCCCTGAACTTGGTGTGCTATAGCACGCCCTGCCTTTGGATCGGGCTGTTCCCTCTGACTGAAGGTTGCTCCCTTGCTTCTCCCTGCCACCTGTCTCCCCCCGCCCCTCACCCCTCTGTGCTCTGCACCGTTTCCTTCTCAGGAACTGTCCATCCTCTGGGATCTGCTGCTTATCACTAAATTGACTCTGACGATGGTGGCCGGCAAGGCCCTGGCCTGAGGGAGCTCTGAGATCCACGTGGCTGCCTCTGACTACTGCTCATCCACGTGATGCCAAACACTTTCCACAAGTGACCTTTACTCCTTCCTTTACTGCTGCAAGGTAGGCACAATTATCCCCATTTTGCAGATGAGGAAGAAGGGCTCAGAGAGGCTCACTAATGTGCCCGTGGCCACTCACAGGACTGTCTGTAGAGTTAATGTCATTGTTTTTCCCCAGAACAGGCATGTTCCCCACAGCAGCCTTCATCTTAGGAAAGAACTGGGCACCTCACACCTGGAATAGGAAGAGAAGCGCTATGCAGCACGTCGGGAAAGCTGGGCCGAGGGGAGTAGGGTGGGGACGGGCTACTCACTCCTTCAACAGGATGACATCGGCCAGCACACCGAACATCTGGTAGAGCCCAGAAGCCTCATTCACGCGCCGCACGATGGAGCTGGTCAGCTGTGTGATGGGGAGCTCAGTGGCGGGCCAGGTGACGCTGTGGTGGCGGTGCTCCAGGAGCCGGTGAACAGCACGCACTGGAACAGCCAGAGGGAGGAACGGCACGCTGCACTTACCATTTTATCTCTGGTCACTGGGAGGGATGCCCAGGCCTCATTGACCCCTGAGAACGCCATACACACTGGTCTCCATGGCCCAGCGCAAACGCCTAGGTGGTGAACACATGAGGGGAGGAGATGGCAGCTGCCTTTAGAGCAGGGCCAGCAGGTATTTTCTGGAAAGGGCCAGACAATCCATATTCTCTGCTTTGTGGGTCATACACGACTCAGTGATGCTGCTCAATTCTGCCCCTAGTGTAAAAGCGGCCAAGACAACAGGCAAAGGAGTGAGCACAGCTGGAGTTGGTCTCCAGGCCAGAGTCCATCTGCCCCTGCTTCAGGCCATCTGCACGTGGGAGTCCCACCGGCCCCACCTCACACAAGGAACGTCAAGTCCAACACGGAGCCTTCCCCAGAAACCTCCCCCCCTTCACAGCTCTGTTTCCATCAGAGACGCGCCTACAGAAATCTTTGATTTCGCCCTCTCTTTCACAGCCTAAATCCATCTGTCTCTAAGTTCTTTTTTTAAATATTTTTTATTTTATTTTTTTGAGACAGGGTCTCGCTCTGTTGCCCAGGCTGGAGTGCAGTGGTGCGATCTCGGCTCACCGCGACCTCCGCCTCCTGGGTTCCAGGAGGAACCGACTCCCAGAATTGAGTCCAATCCTTTGCCCGTACTGTAAGACCCCTCTGCAGTGGTCCCTACACTTATTATTGTAGTCCTCTAACCTGGAATAAAGTCCACCTTACCGTCTTCATTTGTATTATGATTTTTGAGACAGAGTCTCACTCTGATGCCCAGGCTGGAGCGCAGTGGCACGATCTTGGCTCACTGCAACCTCTGCTTCCTGGATTGAAGTGATTCTCCTGCCTCAGCCTCCCAAGTAGTAGGGATTACAAGCCTGGCTAATTTTTGTATTTTTAGTAGAGATGGGGTTTCACCATGTTGGTCAGGCTGGTCTCGAACTTCTGACCTAAGCTGATCTGCCAGCCTCAGCCTCCCAAAATGCTGGGATTATAGGCATGAGCCACTACGCCCAGCCTGCCTTACTGTCTTTAAAAAGAAAAAAGAAATATAAATATTGAATGTCTTTGAGTGGCAGAATATAAAGATTACTCCCCGTAATTCCCTACATTTTCACATTTTTGATGCTCAGGCTAGGCATGGTGGCTCATGCCTGTAATCCCAACACTTTGGGAGGCTGAGGTGGGTGGATCGCTTGAGCTTGGGAGTTTGAGACCAGCCTGGGCAACATGGCGAAAACTTGTCTCTACCACACAAAAATAAAAACAACAAAATTAGCTGGGTGTGGTGGTGCACGCCTGAAGTCCCAGCCACTCAGAAGGCTGAGGTGGGAGGATGGCTTGAGTCTGGGAAGTCGAGGCTGCAGTGAGCCGAGATGGCGCCATTGTACTCCAGCATGGGAAACAGGAAGAGACGCTGTCTCAAAAAAAATAATAATACTAATTTTTTAAAGCTCAGCTGTAAGATTATGACTCCATTCTTTCAAATAGACTCACCTAACCACCTAACTGAATACTGTATGCCTCACTGAGTGAATTTCAACCAACACCCTGTCCTTCTCAGAAGGTTAACCACAGGAGCAGGAACATCTAATTTTTATTTATTTATTTATTTTTGAGACAGAGTTTCACTCTTTTTGCCCAGGCTGGAGTGCAATGGTGTGGGCTTGGCTCACTGCAACCTCCACCTCCAAGGTTCAAGTGATTCTCTTGCCTCAGCATCCCGAGTAGTTGGGATTACAGGCGCCCGCCACCATGCCCGGCTAATTTTGTATTTTAAGTAGAGGTGGGATTTCACCATACTGGCCAGGCTGGTCTCGAACTCCTGCCCTCAGGTGATCCACCCACCTCAGTCTACCAAAGTGCTGGGATGACAGGTGTGACCCACCGTGCCTGGCCACATCTAACATTTTAGACTCCTCTCCACAGAAAGGGCACCAGTTTGCTTTCTATGAAAGAAGAGAAGACCTTTGTAGAAAGTGTCTTTCAGGAAAGCTCCTGGGCCTTGGAGTTTAATTCCCATAATGGTGAGAAAATCACCAAAACTCTGAGCCTCAGAGTTTTACACTCTTGAGGAAAATGGAGATTTCACACCCACCTTTCGGGGTGCTGGCGGCCCTGCCAGGGTCGTGTGTTCAGTGCTCAGCCCACTGAAGTCACCCAACATGCGTGAATTCATCTCTCTCACTTCCTTTTTATTTCCCATTTACTCCTAAAATCACAAGTATCAATTTTTGGTTGGGGATTATTTTAGTGCAATAAATAGAATTATGTTTTTAAAAGATATTTTAGTATTTTCTTTGTAAACATTCTCAAGTTGGCAGAAAATTTATACCCTTGGTACTGAGAGTTTTGAAAAAGAACTGATATAATCCAATTACATTTTTTTTTTTTTTTTTGAGATGGAGTTTTGCTCTTGTTGCCCAGGCTGGAGTGCAATGGTGCGATCTCAGCTCACCGCAACCTCCACCTCCTGGGTTCAAGTGATTCTCCTGCCTCAGCCTCCCGAGTAGCTGGGACTGCAGGCGCACGCCACCACACCTGGCTAATTTTTGTATTTTTAGTAGAGACAGGGTTTCGCCGTGTTGCCCAGGCTGGTCTTGAACTCCTGGCCTGAAGCAATCCACCTGCCTTGGCCTCCCAAAGTGCTAGGATTACAGGCGTGAGCCATTGCACCTGGCCTACACTTAATTTTATTTTATTTTTGAGACCAAGTCTCGCTCTGTCACCCAGGCTGGAGTGCAGTGGTATCATCATGGCTCACTGCAACCTTGACTTCCTGGACTCAAGGGATCCTCCTGCCTCAGCCTCCCAAGTAGCTAGGACTACAGGCGTGGACTTTTACACTTTATCTGATACTTTCCTAAACATGTCGTCAGACCACAAAAACCTGTTGTCACTTCCCCAAGACAATTTATGACAATGAGCTACTGACAAGCAATCCCCTAATGCTTCTGGACATAGGAGTAGATTTATAAACCCTGGGATGCTGAGAGTGGTTCCGTCTGGGGACAGTTCTGCCTTCTCAGCTGGGCTCACCTGTGTATCGGAATCCGTGGATGAAGCCCCCAGCAGATTTCCGGTAGTCCACCGAGTGGCTGGCAGTACCCAGGATAAACAGACCCCGGCTTCCTTTGGATTCGTAGCTAGCTCGAATCAGCGGGTACTTCTTGCCGAATGCATTTCCCGAGTTAAGTCTGAGGGACCTGTCAGTGGAAAGGGCTGTTCATGAAAATAGCTGCTATGTAAGAGGCACTTATTTATTTAGTTAGTTTTGAGATGGAGTTTCGCTCTTGTCGCCCAGGTTAGAGTACAATGGCGTGATCTCGGCTCACTGCAACCTCTGCCTCCTGGGTTCAAACTATTATCCTGCCTGAGCCTCCCGAGTAGCTGGGATTATAGGCTCCTGCCACCATGCCCAGCTAATTTTTGTATTTTTAGTAGAGACCAGGTTTCACCACGTTAGCCAGCCTGGTCTCGATGTCCTGACCTTAGGTGATCTGTCTGCCTTGGCCTCCCAAAGTGCTGGGATTACAAGCGCGAGCCACTGCACCCAGCCAGGAGGCACTTATTACAGTGGCACTTATTACTGGCACTGAGTGCCTTAGATTTCTCGTCTCATTTAAACCTCACCATGACCCCAGGAGGTGGGTATTATCATCTCCATTTAAGAGATGAAGTCGGCCAGGCGAGGTGGCTCACGCCTGTAATCCCAGCACTTTGGTAGGCCGAGGCGGGCGAGTCACAAGGTCAGGAGTTCGAGACCAGCCTGGCCAACACAGTGAAACCCTGTCGCTATGAAAAAATACAAAAAGAGTTAGCTGGGGGTGGTGGTGCAATGGCTGTAATCTCAGCTACTCAGGAGACTGAGGCAGGAGAATCGCTTGAACCTAGGAGGCAGAGGTTGCAGTGAGCCGAGATTATGCCATTGCACTCCAGCCTGGGCAACAGAGTAAGACTCTGTCTCAAACAAACAAACAAACAAACAAACAATGAAGTCAGGCCAGGCACAGTGGCTCACGCCTGTAATCCTAGCACTTTGGGAGGCCGATGGAAAGGAGGGTCTGGACAGGCACACCAGCTTCTCCTTTGTCTTTCTGCACCCTGGTCAGAAGACAAGTGAAAGACTGGATGCTGCTTTGATACCAAACCTCCCGAGGTAGTCGGCAGCAATGTTTAAAATCTAGGCTTCATAAAATAGCCCTTCAAAATACAATGATAAATAACTTAAGCAACTAACATTTTATTGAGCACATAATACATGCCAAGTACTTTCTTTATTTTAAGAGATAGGGTCTCATTATGTTGCCCAGGTTGGAGTGCAGCAGCTATTCACAGGCATGATCATAGCACACTGTAGCCTTGACCTCCTGGGCTCCAGTGATCCTCCTGCCTCAGCCTCCTGAGTAGCTAGGTACTCATCACTGCACCTAGCTCCCAGCACTTTCTTTCCTTTCTTTCTCCCCTCTCTCTCCTTCCTTCTCTCCTCTCTCTTTTTTTGTTTTTGAGATGGAGATCTTGCACTGTCGCCTGGGCTGGAGTCCACAATGGCGCGATCTCGGCTCACTGCAACCTCCACCTCCCAGGTTCAGGCGATTCTCTTGCCTCAGCCTCCCGAGTAGCTGGGATTACCGGCACGTGCCACCATGCCTGGCTAATTTTTTGTATTTTTGGTAGAGACGGGGTTTCGCTACATTGGTCAGGCTGGTCTTGAACTCCTAACCTTGTGATCCGCCCACCTCAGCCTCCCAAAGTGCTGGGATTACAGCATGAGCTACTGTGACCAGCCATCTCTTTTTTTTTTTGAGACAGGGTCTCACTCTGTTGCCCAGGCTGGAATGCAGAGGCATGATCTTAGTTCACCACAGCCTCGACCTCCTGGGCTCAAGTAGTCCTCCCACCTTGGCCTCCTGAGTAGCTGGGACCACAGGCATGTGCCAACACACCTGGCTAATTTTTGTATTTTTTGTAGAGGTGGGGTTTCACCATGTTGTCCAGGCTAGTCTTGAACTCCTGAGCTGAAGTAGTATGCCTGCCTTGGCCTCCCAAAGTGCTGGGATTATAGGTGTGAGACCATGAGCCACTGCACCTGGCCTCTGCACACATTCTTCTTTCTTTTTTTTTTTTTTTGAGATAAGAGTCTCGTCACCCAGGCTGGAGTGCAGTGGTGTGATCTCGGCTCACTGCAACTTCTGCTTCCCAGGTTCCAGCAATTCTCCCACCTCAGCCTCCTGAGTAGCTGGGATTACAGGCACCCACCACCACGCTTGGTTAAATTTTTGTATTTTTAGTAGAGATGGGGTTTCACCATGTTGGCCAGGCTGGTCTCGAACTCCTAACCTCAAGTGATCCACCTGTCTCGGCCTCCCTAAGTGCTGGGATTACAGGTGTGAGCCACCGCACCCAGCCTCCAAGCATATTCTTATGTTAATCCTCGCAATAACCATATGAGAAACAAACTTTGAATCCCATTTTAGACATGAGAATACTGGGCCACAGCGTGGTTAAATAACTTCCGCCGAGGTCACAGATTTGGCAAGCAGAGAATCTCAGGACAATTCCGGCACCTGTGCTCTCAGCCACTACGCTATATTGCCTTCGAGCAAATTCCCCTCTGTATTCTCTCTGAGCCGGCCTTTCCAACTCACAGGTGGAGGCTCCCAATGCTGATGAAGATCTGCTGGTGTTGCTCCAGGACCAAGGGCCTCAGGGCCACCTGGGACCCTCAATGGTCAGAGCTCATGTCCTGGAGGGAAATCAGGCAGCACTCACATCCATTCTTTGGGTGCTGTCCTGAGAGCTCTGTCGCCAGCCTACTGAACAGCCACCCTGTTCCCCTAGGGAGGGGTCAGGAGGGTTTGCTAGGAGAGCCCACCTCCTTCCGCATGGAACTCACTTATTGAAAATGGAGAAGTCAAAGTTCCAGCCCAGGCAGCGGATTACCCGGTCATAGGGCACGCGCATGGCAAAGTTGTCATTGTCGTCCTGGGGGAGGGTGATGGAGTCGGCACTCTGGTTGGTGTTGGCTTCTTCCAGGAAGAATTTCGGGGTGACATGGAACTTGCCTTTGCTGTCCTTCAGGATGGCCAGATCCGTCAGGTCAGACTCGAGCAGCCCGTCCAGGGACTTGAGCTGGTAGGTATCCAGCAGGCCATTGTTGATGGCTCTGAGCCCACAGAGAATGCAGGGGAGAGAGACTCAGAGGAAAGCTGGGCAGTGCAGCTGGGGTCAGGAAGGGCAGGGGAGGGTTGGGGAGGCTCTTTCCACACTCTGGGCTCCCAGCACAGAACACACATGCGGGGATGTGGCCTACCTGAGGTCTCCAACGTAGTGGGTGGCCCAGGACAGACGGACCCGGGAGCGGCTGAGCATATGGATAAAGTTTGTGACACCCAAGATGTTCTCTGCTGTCTCAAAGGCCGAGTTCCCACGACCCAGGATCAGCACATTCTGGCCTACAAAGTCCTCAGGGTCCACGGACACGGACTCGTAACCCTCTGCATATTCGGAGCCAGGGAAGTCAACCTGGTTGGGGACTGATAAACCAGTGGCTACAAAGAGGACGCTGCAGGCGGGGACAGAGGAAAGATGGCTTAGTCTCTTAGCTATAAGACCACTAAGTGAAAACCACTCCCTGGACCCACCCACCCACCTGCCTGGCTCCAACCGCCGGCCCCTAAAAGAAAATAGGACATTCATTCATTCATTTTTCATTCATTCATCTGTTTACGCCCTCATCCCAGTGCACTTGAGAGGCTCTGCCCTTGCCTCTCCCTGAGCTCACAGTATTTTCCCTAGCACTGTACTGGGGGTTAAATTTGCCCTGTGAGAGAGGAGAAGATGACAGTATGAGAAATGGAGAATTCACCTAACTTTGCACATAGCAGTCAGACCAGGTATGACTGCTGGTGATGAAATGAAACCTGACATTCTACTTTCCCCTTTCTGAGTCCTCTGACAGATACATCTATCCACTGAGCAGTAATTCTGTACCAGGCCCTGTACTAAGTGTATCTGTGCACCATCTTTCTGACTCCTCCAAGCAACCTGGAGGTGGTATGTGGCCTGCTTTACAGGTGAGGAGGCACAGGCCCTGCAGGCCCATGGCTTGAGAGCTCCTAAAAGCAGCAGAGCCAGAGTCTAAACACAGATAGGCTTGATTCCAAAGTCCTGCTCCTTCCATTGGTGAGGATCGCCATCCAGGGGAGGGCAGCTGGGGACTTGGATCCTGCCGGCTTGCAGAAGAATGCTTTGATCACAGAGTGGTTTCAAAAATAGAATTGAAGGCCGGGTGCGGTGGCTCATACCTGTAATCCCAGCATTTGGGGAGGCTGAGGTGGGTGGATCTCCTGAGGTCAGGAGTTCGAGACCAGCCTGGCCAACGTCGTGAAATCTCATCTCCACCAAAAATATAAAAAAATTAGCCGGGTGTGGTGGTGCTTGCCTGTAATCCCAGCTACTGGGGAGGCTGAGGCAGGAGAATCGCTTGAACTAGAGAGGCGGAGGTTGCAGTGAGCTGACCTCGTGCCATTGCACTCCAGCCTGGGCGACAGAGTGAGACTCCGTCTTAAAAAAAAAAAAAAGCGAAATACCCTTTTTCGTCCATTCCTCCCATACCTACTGGCCAATCAAGGTGTGTGGTTCGTGTGGGGAAGGTCCCAGCTTCCGCAGGTGAGCTCTGGCACCGGCCTTACCTGCACTGATGCACCTGGCCCTTCTGGTCAGTTAGGATGAAGTAGTGGCCATTCCAGGCCTGTCGGTCCTTGTCCAGAGTGACGTGGGCGATGGTGGTGTTGTACTGGACACGGAGCCCCAGCGTGTCCGCGAAGTCACCCAGGTAGCGCACCATGTCGCGGGCGTCGGGGAAGTAGGCACGCGAGTAGTGTCTGAAGAGCAGCCGGGGGTCGTGGCTGAGCAGAGAGTTCCAGTCGTGGCGGAGGTTGAACTCGGCGTTAGCCTTGCCCGTGTACCGCTTGTTGATGCTGATGAGCTTGCGGTGCCGCGGGTAGCGTGTGAAGAAGCTGCCGGGCCGCGGGGCCCGCTCGAACACTGCGTAGTCGCGTCCAGCGCGCTGCAGGAAGTAGGCCATCTGCAGGCCCGCGGGCCCAGCGCCCAGCACGCAGTAGTCCCGGCGCGGGGGCACCGACAGCGCTGGGTGCAGGGCGATGGCCAGGAGCAGCCCCGGGGGACCCCACAACGGGGCCGCAGCGGAGAGGCCCATCCTGCAGCAGATCAGAGGGGTAAGGCCTCGCACCCGGCCCGGCGGCTGGGAGACACGAGGCCCAGAAAGAGGCGGGGCCTGCGGGAACTCTCACTGCAATCTGGGTCACGGCCAGGCCCAGAAGCCGTCCTCAGAGCTCATTTGCCCGGACTCCACCGTTTCAAGCTGGGACTTGGGGCTCCCCGGAATCCCGAGCCCCTCCATCTTATCTCCCTCAGGGTCTCCTTCCTCAGGGGCACCGGCTCCCCGCTTATGATTGTAGTAACCTCCACCCTGGGGAAGGAGAGCGTACTCCCCAATTTTCCCCTAATTTGAGGGTGCCCAACACCCCTTTGAACCACCCTCCAGGTTGGACCTTCCAGAGGCCTTGGCCCCTCTCCAGCGACCGGGTGGGAGCCTGAAGTGGGTGTGGCCTGCGTGCGCCCCGCCCCCTGCCAGGGTCCGCGCGCCCCAGGCTCTTCGGCCACGTGACAGGGATGCCGCGCACACCTGCCGCCCGCCCGCGTGCGCTTCAGGAGCCGCCAGGTCCCTACGCCCGCAGCTCCGGCCTCCCCGCCTCCGACCGAACCCTGAGAAACGCGCGAACCTCCCAGCCGCTCCGGCTGCAACCCGTGGTCTAATGAGGCCGCGCTTGGCTCGCTTGCTCCGCGGCGGCTCCGCCCCTCGCGCCCGGACCAATGGCAGGGGGCGGGGTCACGTGCGCGGCGCGCGGCACGCCGGGACCAGCTGGCAGGCTGCCTGCTCCGGCCCAGCGCGGGAGAGGCGCGCGCGTGCTGCGTTCGCTGCTCCGGGGGCTGGTAGAGGGGCCTGGGGCTAGCGCGCACCCGCGAGGGTGGAAGGTCTGGAGATCCGGGATGGGGAACTGGGTCCTTCGTTTTAAAAGGTGCCTCTCTACACGGAGGGAGGGGAGCACGTGATTTTTGGAGCTAATCCTAGCTCTCATATTCCATGAATGTAGCCAAACGCTAAAACTAGTTGGCCTACCCAGTTTTGTGGGACTGGAAACCAGCGTGGTGGAGCCAGGACCGATAAGCCAATTAACAAGCGTTTGCTACAGTGACTCAGTGTACTGCTTACCAAGTAACATACACGACTGTCCTAATCTTCCACCAAATAGGAGAGGTGGGCAAGGCATTGTTTCCGACATTTGGTAGCTGACTGGTCAAATGGAGACATAGGGATGAAGGGATATGTTTACAATCACAGGAAGTGGAGCCTGGAATTAAAACTCAGTGGAGGCAAGATAAATGGCAGGAGGAAGATAACGTGAACTGGATGATGAAGGTTGGCTTCCCAGGGGTGGCAAGTGGCCCCTGCATGAGATTTACATGGGGAGAAATACGAAGTCAGTGTAGGAACCTTCAAAGTCCAGTGAAATGGGGCTGAGTGTTCTTGGGGGAAGGGCAGGTGGAAAGAACTGCGAGCCTGCAGATTTGCATGGCTGGAGATTCTTTGAATTAAAAATCGTAGCTGGGGACTCCTTAGAAAAATTTTCCTGACCTCTCAGGCCTACAAGTACCTACCAAAGAATGTCATTTACTTTTTCTTTTTTTTTTTTTTTTGAGATGGAGTCTCACTCTGTCGCCCAGGCTGGAGTGCAGTGGCGTGATCTCGGCTCACTGCAAGCTCCACCTCCCAGGTTCACGCCATTTTTCTGCCCCAGCCTCCCTAGTAGCTGGGACTACAGGTGCCCGCCACCACACCCGGCTAATTTTTTGTATTTTTAGTAGAGACAGGGTTTCACTGTGTTAGCCAGGATGGTCTCGATCTCCTGACCTCGTGATCCGCCCGCCTCGGCCTCCCAAAGTGCTGGGATTACAGGCGTGAGCCACCGCGCCTGGCCGAATGTCATTTACTTTCTTCAGTCTGTGTCAACATCAGAGAAAAGCTCCCTCAGAGCAGAAATTGTCCAGTATCTGACATACGGAAGTTTAAGCATTTGTTGAATAAGCATTGCAACCAGAGAGGTCAGGCAGAATACTTTGCCAAAAATAAAGTAGGGATGTCTTATTTCTTCTTTTTGAGACAGAGTCTCACTGTCACCCAGGCTGGAGTGCAGTGACACAATCATGGCTCACTGCAGCCCTGACCTTCCAGGCTCAAGCGATCCTGCTTCAGCCTCCCAAAGTGCTAGGGATTACAAGTGTGTGCCATGGCCCCTGGCCAATTTTTCAAAAAAATTTTTGGGGGCATATGTGTATATATTTATGGGGCATATGAGATGTTTTGATAGTCATGCAATTTGGGGATGTCTGTTTCTTAGTGGTTGTGAAGATTATGAGAATGGGTGCTGGCAAACAAGTTCCTAAAATAATTGCTGGTCTTATGTGGTGAATACAGTAGTGGGAAATTAAACAGAATTCGTCAAGTATGGTAGGGCCCTACGAGTAGGCTGAACCTAGATTGTAAGCAACAGGATGCTACTGGGAGTTTCTGAATGTAGGATTACTGCAGCAGTCAACTTGGTAGCCCCATGCAGGACAGATAAAAGCAGTGGACAGCTACTCGGGAGGCTGAGGCAGGAGAATGGCGTGAACCCAGGAGGCGGAGCTTACAGTGCCTGAGATTGCGCCACTGCACTCCAGCCTGGGCAACAGAGCAAGACTCCGTCTCAAAAAAAAAAAAAAAAAAAAAAAAGGCAGTGGAAACTGATGCAAAGTATTTTCAGGGAATGAGCTTGAGTCACTTCCACTTGCTTCTGTTAATCCTGTTGGACAGGGCCATGGTTTGCAAGAGGCAATTTGGTGAATACTGGTCCAACCTGGAAACCCCCGGCACTAGTCACACCACTTTAATCTGTTTTTTAACACTCTGTATTCACATTGAAAACTCCCCAAGTACACTTTTTCTCTCCACTGCTTCTAACACAGTTCAAGAAACCTTTTGCTTGCTGAGGTTCGATTCATTAAAATTAATTTTGTGTTTTTTCAAGCTACTTTAAAAAAAAAACCTGTAACTTTAGAAATGCTGAGCTTTTTTTGAGAGTCTCTGTAATCCAAATTGGAGTGCAGTGGTGTGATCTCAGTTCACTGCAACCTCCGCCTCCTGGGTTCGAGTGAATCTCCAGCCTCAGCCTCCCAAGTAGCTGGAATTACAGGCGTGTGCCACCATGCCTGGCTGTTTTGTATTTTTAGTAGAGACGGGGTTTTGCTATGTTGCTCAGGCTGGTTTTGAACTCCTGACCTCAAGTGATCCACCCACCTCGGCCTCCCAAAGTGCTGGGATTACAGGCATGAGCCACTGCACCTGGCCTTTTTTTTTTTGATAAAGGGTCTCCTTCTGTCACTTAGGCTGGAGTGCAGTGGTGTGATCATAGCTCACTGCAGCCTTGAACTCCTGGGCTCAAGCAATCCTCCCACCTCAGCCTCCTGAGTAGCTGGGACCACAGGTGGAAGCATCATGACTGGCTAATAATTTATTTTTTTGCAGAGACAGGCCCTGGTCTCCCTGTGTTGCCCAGGCTGGTCTCAAACTTCTAGGCTAAAGTGATCCTTCTGCCTCAGCCTCTCAAAGTGTTGGGATTAGAGGTTTGAGCCACCATGCCTGTTTCCTCACCTCTACAATGGTACTACTCCTGCCAGCATCACAGTTCTGTATGAGGCTTAGATACTACAGAAAGCTCAGCATTAATACCTGGCAGGGTAATTACTCCATCAAGTGTCCAGAACAGAACAGTGTCCACTTACATAGTTTACATAGCCTCGGCTGGGTGCGGTGGCTCACGCCTGTAATCTCAGCACTTTGGGAGGCCAAGGCGGGTAGATCACCTGAGGTCAGGAGTTCGAGACCATCCTGACCCATATGGCGAAACCCCGTCTCTACTAAAAATACAAAAATTAGCCAGGCATGGTGGTGCATGCCTGTAATCCCAGCTACTGGGGGGCTGAGGCAGGAGGATCGCTTGAACCTGGGAGGTGGAGGTTGCAGTGAGCCGAGATCATGCTACTGCACTCCAGCCTGGGCAACAAAGTGAGATTCCGTCTCAAAAAAAAAAAAAAAAAAAAAAAAAGTTTACATATCCTCAACATGCAGAGCTCTTATGACACAATGCTTTGTAGGGACAGGCCTGAGTGTCACCAGCCCAAGCCAAGCTTAAAAACAATTCATAAACCATTACACAATCACCCAGTGGGACATCCATCAAGCTCTCTGTGGCAGCCTCCCTCAGGCGCAGCAGCCCCACCTCACCCACACCCTGCTTCACGCTGTACTAGTGCTCTGCACTCCAGCTCCTCACAGTGAACTCTCCAAAAGCAACAGGTGGCCCTTCACACAGCCAGCAGGCACTCATGCTTGTGGAAATGGACTTCTTATAACAAATGAGGACACCCAGATTCTGAATTCCACATAGAAATTGCTGAATCTCATCCCCACTCTGTCAGGAATCTTTGAAGAAACGACTGTAAATCGTTAATGCAGGCAGACGATGAGGGAAAGACTAAACAGATATATATTTTATTTCATCTGCTAAATGTCAGAGAGCAAGTTAGACACACATTCCACTAAGCATCAAAGGCCCTCGTAGTCTCGGTGGAAGGACAAACTCCAGCTCCACATCACTGGTTTAAGTTTCTTCCTCTGAAAGACACAAAAAATGTAAGAGAAATGAGCCAGGTTGTGTGATATGATGTTCACTTTCCTTTCTGAACCTCTGCTGGACTGTGCGTGAGTTTTCAACACTTCCATTCCGAAGTTAAGCCTTTCAGATGCTCACAGGGCTGGGCAGGTATTTCCTTCAGTCACCAGCTGGTGGAGCAGGAGAGACAACTTTCAGGCTATTTAACCCGGAGCGGAGCTTTTCCCTCTAGACCACCGGCTTCAATCTGGGACTTCCCTCATCTTCCTCTACCTCTGCCACAGTCCAGCCGCTTCTCTAAAACACCGCTATCCTCCCCAACCACTTGATGTGATCTAAAGGCTCTAGAAGAAGCTCTTGGAGCCAAAGTGAATGCTTCTTCATACTTAAGTCTCAGGGAATTCTCGAAGTTTTATCAAGGTTAAAGATCACAATGGCTACAGAGCTTGCTCCCGTGCTAGCCCACAGATCACTCTAGACCTCAGAAAGTGGGCTGCTACACACCTTCTTCTTCCTCTTCTTCCTCCTCCTCTTCCTCCTCATCTTCATCAGAGCTGAAGGTGCCATCAGGGAGGCTGTAGACACGGATGACCTGCTTGTTGGGGTCCTTGAGGATGAGGTATTTGCCCTCCTCCAGCTTCATGCAGATGTCAATGACGCAGCGTAAAATGCCCCAGGCATTCTCCACGCTCAGGTTGATCTGGCTGGCAAACTCATTAGGCTTGAACTGCTGGGTGCCTAGGATGACGTGGCGTGAGGAGTCTTTCACGTGGTACCGAGACACATAACTAACAGGGGAAGGGATATCAGTGGTCAGAGCAGGGCAGCACAGAGACAGCAACACTTGGGATCAAATGTCAATTAAATGGTGATACCTGGTCCACTGCTATTTTTTCTTTTTTTTTTTTTTGAGACGGAGTCTGGCTCTGTTGCCCAGGCTGGAGTGCAGTGGCGCCATCTTGGCTCACTGCAAGCTCCGCCTCCCGGGTTCACACCATTCTCCTGCCTCAGCCCCCTGAGTAGCTGGGGCTACAGGCGCCCGCCACTACGCCCGGCTAATTTTTTGTATTTTTAGTTGAGACAGGGTTTCATCGTGTTAGCCAGGATGGTCTTGATCTCCTGACCTCGTGATCTGCCAGCCTGGGCCTCCCAAAGTGCTAGGATTACAGGCATGAGCCACCGCGCCCGGCAGTCCACTGCTATTTTCAAGGGAAAGGGAAAACATCGTCTTCTGAGTTCTCAGTTCTGGATTTCATTGACACCATTGCCCTAGTTCAGGACTCCATTCAGCATGCCTGCTGTTTGGCATTTGTCTCCTAACTGACCCCTCCATCTCTACCCCACCCCTGGATTTATCTCTGCCAGTCAATTGTCCAGTACACGGGGAGGGGAGGGTCAACCTCCCTACCCAGACCCTTCCTTTCACAAGATCAGCTGCCAGCTCCTGCACAGGAATCTCACCCAAGCTTGAGGTACTCAGATCCAGCCAGCAAAGCACAGCAGGTCCACCGGGCCAACTTGTAGCTGTTGTTCTTCAGCTCCGTGGCAATGACAGCCCCTCGCTGAGAGTCCAGCTTCTGACGCCAGTCAACGCCATTACAGTGCTGCAGGAGAGCCCCGTTAGAGAAACAGAAGCAAGCTCCAAATGCCCAAGGTGCTGGGACCTCCTCTGGCAGAGAAGGAACTCCCTAGTCTGCTTGCTTAGAAAGTGGGTAGGTACGCACTAAATCTTACCATTTAAGAGACAAAGACATAGTCCCTTCCCTTGCACAGCCTGCCGCACAGCAGTCACTCAACGACTTACAATTCCTCTCTTCTAAAAGCTCGCCTAGACAGGGAATGATGGATGGACACACACGGACACACACACACACACACACACTTTAGAAGTGTCATATAAACAGCAGAGCCAAGTGTTTACTATGTGTTGCGTGGTAAGGAAGGGCTTCACAGAGGACGTGTAACAGTGAGCCAAGTGGAGAATATTGGCTCAAGTGCAGGTGTAGCCAGGAGGTCTTGATCTGAGAGGCATGGTGGGATAGGAAAGACAGGCAGAGTTGGCCTTAGATGGGGGTGGAAGCCTGCAGTGGGTGCAAAGCTGAGTCTGACATTTTACATAAATGCACACACAGTAGAAAAGGACCCCAGAGAGATCCTCTTTTCTACCCATATCATTTGTAGACGTGGGAAGTTGGACCCAGAGTGAAATGACTGGTCAAAGGTCACATGACAGAGGTTCCCAAACTTTCTTGGTTCATGGCAAACACAGGGCAAAAGAAATACTCAAGAATTTCTTTTAAATTTTTTTTCTTTTTTTTTTTGAGACGGAGTTTTGCTCTTGTTGCCCAGGGTGGAGTGCAGTGGCACGATCTTGGCTCACTGCAACCTCCGCCTCCCGGGTTCAAGTGATTCTCCTACCTCAGCCTCCCTAGTAGTTGGGATTACAGGTGCCCGCCACCATGTCCAGCCAATTTTTGTATTTTTGGTAGATACGGGGTTTCATCATGTTGGCCAGGCTGGTCTCGAACTCCTGACCTCAGGTGATCCACTCGCCCCGGCCTCCCAAAGTGCTGGGATTACAGGCGTGAGCCACCGTGCCCGGCCAAGAATTCCTTTTATTTAGTTAGGGTCAAACCATGTATTAGTATTCTGACAAGATGTCTCTGTGTTTCCCTAAAAAATTTAAAATATCCTGCAGCACTCCTGTGAGTTTGCTGTGGCACATTTTTTGGAGATGGGGTCTCACTATGTTGCCCAAGCTGGTGAGTTCAGGATTTGAACTCATGAACCCAAGCGATTCTCCCACCTCAGGCTCCTGAGTAGCTAGGACTATAGGTGCATACTACTGCATACAGCTTGCTGGGGCATGTTAGAATTCTTCTCCCAATCTGCACTGCTGATGAAGCGTGTATTGGACAATTGACTGGCGGAGATAAATCAAATATAGAAGTTGGGTGGAGGTAGAGAAATCAGTTAGGAGACAAATGTCAAACAGGCATGATGAAATGGGGCCCTGAACTAGGGCAATTATCAGTGAAATCCAGGACAGATTCAGAAGACAGCAAAGCCTTCTATTTTGCTAACAGCAAAACAGAATAATGTAAAAAAGAAGTTGGAGATGTTGGAGGCTCAGAGCTTAGGTGGAAGAAAGACAATGCTGATGGACAGCTGGCCCAGAGGCAATGACGGGACTGGGGACACATGGAAGGGGAAGGTGTTTTAGCAGAAAAACAATGGGAAGTATAATAAATCAGAGTAGATTTGAGAAATCATTTTCAAAGAGTTCATGGTTGAGGCCTGGGATGGGCAGAATTCTAAGATGACCCCCAGTGACCCTTGCCCTTGCAGAGTCTCCTCCCCTTGACTACGGGCAGAACCTATGGCTAGGATCAAGTATCACCCCCATGATCATCCTACCTTGTATGTCAAAAGGGATTTTGCAGATGTAAGGCCGCAAATCAGTTTACCTTAATATACACTACCTGGCTGGGCTCACCCAACCGTATGAGTCTCTTAAATCTAGGTGTAGAGGTCGGAGACGGAGGAAGTCAGAGATCTGAAGCACAAGAAGGATCTGATGTGCTGTTGCTATCTTGGAGATGGAGGGGGCCATGTGACAAGGAATGCAGGTGGCCTCTAGGAGCCAAGAGAGGCTCCCAGCTGACAACTGGCAGGGGGATGGGGGCCTCAGTCATCTAACTGCAGGGAAATGAACTTTACCCACAATAAGAATGGGCTTGGAAGTGGCTTTTCTTTCAGAACCTCCAGATGAGAACTCAGTTCTATTTCTATTGACACCATGATTTCTGCCTTGTTTGGATTTGTGGCCCCACCCAAACTGCATGTCAAATTGTAAACTCCAATGTTGGAGGAGGAGCATGGTGGGAGGTGACTGGATCATGGGGGCAGACTTCCCCCTTTGGCACTATTCTTGTGGTAAGAGTATTCAAGAGATCTGGTTGTTTAAAAGTGTATACCAACCTCCCCCCTCTCTTTCTCCTGCTCTGGCCATGATGTGCCTGCTTCTCCTTTGCTTTCTGCCACCATTGCAAGTTTCCTGAGGTCTCCTCAGCCACGCTTCCTCTAGAGCCTGCAGAACTGTGAGCCAATTAAACCTCTTTTCTTTATAAATCACCCACTCTCAGGCATTTCTTTACAGCAGTGTGACAATGGACTAATACAAGGACCAAGCACACAGCACTGGACTTCTAACCTACAAAACCGTGAGCTAATAAATTGGTATTGTTAGGCCGGGTGCTGTGGCTCACGCCTGTAATCCCAGCACTTTGGGAGGCCGAGGCAGGCAGATCACCTGAGGCCGGGACTTCAAGACCAGTCTGACCAACATGGAGAAACCCCATCTCTACTAAAAATACAAAATTAGCTGGGTGTGGTGGTGCATGCCTATAATCCTAGCTACTCGGGAGGCTGAGGCAGGAGAATCGCTTGAGCCCGGGAGGTAGAGGTTGCAGTGAGCCGAGATCGCACCGTTGCACTCCAGCCTGGGCAACAAGAGCGAAACTCCGTTTCAGAAAAATAAAATAAAAAATAAAAGTAAAATACATAAATCGGTATTAAGTCATTAAGTTTCTGTTAATTTGTTATGGTGCGAAAGAAAACTAATACAAAGTTATATAATACAGAAGTATGTATGGCGAAGAGAGCTGTCCAGGTGACTCCACTGGGATCAAAAAGGAGGGGAGCCAGCAAAGACGACATGCAAACGGAACAGGGAAACGGGTGAGACCAGAGTAACGCGGTAACACAGACGGCAAAACGACACAGGCACGACGGCCCTGAATGCTTTGGGGAGCTCACCAGGAAAAATCCAAGAAAAGGCCGCTGGCCCCAGAGCGGCAAACCTTCCAGTGTGCTCTTTCAACAGGTGATGTGGGCGGGGGGGCGGATTGGGAGGGGTGGGGTGGAAATAGAGGAGGAAAAGTGAAGGAAGCATGTTTCTTTCAAGGTGCCTCTGAAGAGTCAATTCTGAGCCAGATCTTAGAATCCATGAGTTAAAGAAATGAGGAATTGCAAAAAATGTGTGAAAAGATTGAAGGCAGTGGCTCAGTCAATGAAAGAAGAGGTCAAAAAGAAGAGCGGCCAGACTTACAGGAAAACTGCCAACCCAGATAATAAGGAGAGGAAAAAATCAGATGCTCAGGGAGCAGAAGTCAACAGGAGGCCACAATGGAACAGAGATGAAGAAAGTACTGGAAGAAGGGAGTTAACTGGTTCCTGCGTAAAAAATAAGCAGAAAAGTTCTTAACACTTAACATAGTTCTACACACACAGTCATGCTCTTTCTCAGCAAGGAACTAAGCAGAGGAAAAAACTCACAAGACAAAAAAAAACATCCAGGTAGCTCTATAAGTAACGAAAGGGGATAAGAAACAGTTTATACAACCTAGCCTGCGTAAACAGGCACTGTAGGGAATAGAGACATGGTGTCACCAGGAGGGTGATGGAGATGGCGGCTCACCCTGGAATCCCACTCATTGAGTGTCTTGATGTTGATGAAGGACACTTCCCCGTTGGCTCCAGTCATGACGCCATCGTGCTCACAACGGACAATAAGGTCAATATCATCTCCAAGCTTCCACCTGCGGTAACTGCAGCAAAAAAGAAACTCATGTGGTCACTGGGGATTCTATAGAGTGGGGCCCGTGCTCCAGTCTGGCCACAATACCCACCAGAGAGGTGACCTACCGGTACGCAACAGAGGCGATTTCATTCTTATCCATGTCGTCCTCCACAAACGGGTTTGGGTTGGGGAAGTTGTATCTTTCCTTCCCCTGCAAAAACAAAGGTGTCACAAGACAGAGCTAACTTTGTTGACAAGGCCAAGGCCAATCAGTCAGACCCAGCACCTCTGCTTAGTTGCAGCCCTGGCCAGGTTCCTGGGGCCCTTGATGGGGCTCTGAGCTCGCTGCCTGTTTTGTGCCTACTTGACCCCTCCCAACTGTTAGCACCTGATGAATTAGAACAATGACTTAGTAACCATGCTCATCTCTACTTCATTTTTTTGCCATGGCATATATTCACCATTTGATGTAAATCAATTTATTATTTATTGTTCACTGTGTTTCCTCCTCCACTATCATTAAATTCTGTAAGGGCAGGAACTTTGTTCAAAGTCAGAGAGCCTAACATCCAAGCCCAGGCATGTAACTCCCCTGCTAAAGGTGGGGACTGCGTCTGACCTGCTCAGTCCCACAACCAAGAGCCTAGCACAAAGCAGATGCTCCACAAACAGCAGCTGATTAAATAAGAATGAATCAATGCCCAGAGACTCGTTTCCTCACCATTCTCAAGCACTGCTGGGAGAAATTGTGGTTGATGTAGGTTGCCTCCATGGCCAGGTTGCGGGGTGAATTGAAGGAATTACCTTCATCTTGAGGGGGCTCATTGGCAGTCTCACTCACTGTCAGGAGGTCTGCAAAAGCGTGGCATGGTCACTCACCATGCAACAAAGAGTCACTGACAATGTGCGCAGCGCTGTGGGGAGATGTGGAGAGGCAAACAACACAAGTCCTTCCTTCAAAGAACTGCCCTCTCCTAAAGTGGGTCTCCCTGGTGTGGAACACATAAGCGGGGGAGTGGGGCAGCTGCTCCAGGATAACTCAAGATACTGTCCAACATTCAATTCAATCACACAGTAACGAAGCTGTCCCTTTTCAGTCGTTTTGGATTCCTCAAGAGAATGATTTTGCAAGCTTTTTAATAAAGACCTCAGGCTTCAGGCTCAGAATATAAACACTTTTTTTTTTGAGATGGAGTCTTGCTCTGTCACCCAGGTTGGAGTGCAGTGGTGTGTCCACGGCTCACTGCAACCTCTGCCTCCTGGGTTCAAGCGATTCTCCTGCCTCAGCCTCCTAAGTAGCTGGGATTACATGTGTCCACCACCACACCTGGCTAATTTTTGTATTTTTAGTAGAGACTGGGTTTCACCATGTTGGCCAGGCTTGGTCTCGATCTCCTGATGTCAAGTGATTCTCCGCCTCGGCCTCCCAAAGTGGCAGGATTACAGGTTGTGAGCCACCGTGTCCAGCCTGTTTTGTTAATTTTTGAGTGACATGGTTTTCCTTTATGGTGTATAAATACATATATGTATGGTATAAAAAATATATATGTATATACAGTAAGCAAACACTGAACAAGGTATGCAAGATGGCAAAAGTCGAAAAAGGGGTATTTAAATGAATAACATTTGGGCCAGGTGTGTTGGCTCACACCTCTAATCGCAGCACTTTGGGAGGCCAAGGCTGATGGATCACTTGAGGCCAGGAGTTCGAGACCAGCCTCGCCAACATGGTGAAACCGTCTCTACTAAAAATATAGAAAGTAGCCAGGCGTAATGGCACATGCCTGTAATCCCAGCTATTCGGGAGGCTGAGGCAGAAGAATCACTTGAATGTGGGAGGCAGACGCTGCAGTGAGCCAAGACTGCGCCACTGCACTCCAGCCTGGGTGACAGAGTGAGACTCTCTGTCTCAATTAAAAAAAAAAAAAAACAACAAAAAAGCAACATTTGGAAGCTTGCTATTAGGGTGCTGTGAGGACTCCAAAAGCTGAGGCCTCAAGCAGGTACTGCAGTGACAGTCTCTTCTCCTAACCTCTAAAGAGTGTGGGAGATTCAGACACTGCTGCTGTCAATTCCCTTGGGAAGACAGACCACTTTCTATCCATTCTCTAGTACCAGAGACTTGTTCTGTACCAACAAAAATACTCAATGCCTTTGAGTTGCTCCCCAGGCACGCTTCTTACCAAAGTCAGAGTTGTCTCTCTTGTCAAAGAAGAGTTTGGACCCAACTCTCTGGACGACAATATCCCAGGAATACACTGAGCGGGTACAGCTCATCAGCGTGGCCAGGATGGCATCAGTGGCAAACACATTCCCCTGAGTTTTTGCCAGCTGCAAAGAGGATCAAAGAGAGAAGATGGAAAGACACTCCCAGGTCTCACTGCCCACTCACATGGATGGGAAAGAACTCCTTTGCTGACCACATAAATCCTTAATAAGGAGGCCCCACCTCATTGACCAAAAACACTGCAGCCAGTGAGCCAGCAAGTTTCGGGTGGCAGTGGCACTGCAGCACCCTAAGCACCTGCTAGATTCCAGCCAAGTGCTTCAGATGCTTTCACCTTTGCCCCAGTGGTAGTGCTATGTACATCTACCCCTTGTTGCAGATGAGAGAACTAAGGCTCCAGAGACTAAGCCAGGAAGCGCGGCAGAACTGGGCTTCAAGTCCAGCTGTGCTTAACATCCACATTTCCGGTCTACCTGGCAAAGTGCTTTTACCTATAATACATACGTTATTCCCATGTCTTCTGTTCTTTCTGCAGCTTCAGCTGTAGAAGCCGACAGCATTCCTAACAAGGGGGAGAGGGGCAGAAGGAGGCGCACACCTTGCGGATGACAGGGTCGTCTGTGGTGGTGACAGTGTGGAAGATGCGCTTGATGCTCCGCAGTGGCTTCTCACTCCTCGTGGTGATGCGGTCAAAGGCTTTGTCGTAGTATTCTAGGGCCCCACAACACTCACTGTGGGAAGAGCAGGCAAAGACATGCAAAGTAAGAGAGATAACCCCCAGTTTTTTCTTTTAAGCCATACATCCAGAAGTCTTATCCAAAAGTCTAAAAGAGGTGGAAAGCAATCTCTGGCCAGAGCAGGAGAGACGAATCCTCAGTGCTTGCTCAGTTCCTGTCCACTTAACACCTGGCATAGAACACAGCAAGCACAACTCATCTAGCCCAACGCCCCCATTTTAAAGGTAGGGTGACCGAGGCTAAGACAGGAGATGACTAGTTATAGAAGCACCTGGGTAGGCTGACTTCTCGTCTGGTGCTCTGGTTTCCCACTACCTAAATTCCACCTACTTGTCCTTTGAGGTAAGAAGCTATTTGAAATGTCAGGAGAAGCAAAGATTCCTCCTGAAGAATTGCTGTGTTTCTTTTCCTGACAAGAGTTTTATAACTTAATCTTATTGCTCTTTTGCTCAGGATGCCAGGAAACAGAAATATACAGTTTAATAATCAGCAAATTCCATTCTGCTTTCTCTTTCTGCCAAAAGAGTTGTATAACTCATTTCTTCTTTCCTCAGGATACCAGGAAGTTAAAAAGAAGTTTGCAGTCAGTGAACTTCTGCTTTTCCCCTTGGTCTTGATTTTTTTTTTTTTGAGATGGAGTTTCGCTCTTGTTGCCCAGGCTGGAGTGCAATGGCAAGATCTCAGCTCACTGCAACCTCCACCTCCAGGGTTTAAGTGATTCTCGTGCCTCAGCCTCCTGAGTAGCTGGGATTACAGGTGTGTGCCACCACACCCGGCTAAGTTTTTGTATTTTTAGTAGAGACTGGGTTTCACCATGTTGGCCAGGCTGGTCTTGAACTCCTGACCTCAGGTGACCCACTGCACCTGGCCGGTCTTGATTTTTTTCAAATACCTCTGTTAACCTTATGAAATGTGTTTTGAGTAAGTGGCTTCAAAGCCTTTTTGGAAATACTAGGGCTTAAGAAAATACCCATCACCAGCTGGTCCACACACATAAGAGCAGTGTAGAAAGTAGTAAAAGATGCTGCTTACATGTCCTGTGGCTCTGATACTTCCAAGTAGCGCATCTTCATCAACTGAGGAAAATCCATTTCCTCTTTCACTTCCCAATCACTACGAACTTCAACTGAAGAGTCTCGGGGTTTCTGCAGTTGAAAACCATTAGAGGAAAAAAAAGTTATAGTCCATACAAAACATAAATAAAAGACAGGCTAAAAATATGAAGAGCTGGCCTGGTGCAGTGGCTCATGCCTGTAGTCCCAGCACTTTGGGAAGCTGGGGCAGGATGATTGCTTGAGCCCAGGAGTTTGAGGCTGCAGTGAGCTATGATTGCACTACTGCACTCCAGCCTGAGTGACACGAGATCCTGTCTCAAACAACAACCACATAAAACGGAGGGGCTCAGTGGCCCTTTGGGAGGCCAAGGCGGGCAGATCACCTGAGGTCAGGAGTTCGAGACCAGCCTGTCCAACATGGTGAAACCCCATCTCTACTAAAAATACAAAAATTAGCCAGGCATGGTGATGCATGCCTGTAATCCCAGCTACTCGGGAGGCTGAGGCAGGAGAACAGCTTGAATCTGGGAGGCGGAGGTTGCAGTGAGCTGAGATAGCACCACTGCACTCCAGCCTGGGTGACAGAGCAAGACTGCGTCTCAATAAAAGAGAGAAAAGAAAAAGAGCTTTTATTCAATAAATGGAGTGCTGACTGTTTTATAAGACAGAATCCCTGACTCCCAGGAATTTATGGTGTGGAAGAGGACCAAAGGGATCAAAAGTTCAAAAGCAAATGGGGTTCCACTCCCAGGTAATGATGTCACCTGATGAACATGTAGAAGGTCCTTTATATTTCTCTCGGGTTATTAACTATTCTTGATACAGCATCATATCCAACAAAATGTAGCTTCACTTTTGCTTACATGTGTTCTGTTCTCAGAATGCCCACACAAGCACACGCAGGTGAACGTTCACAGCAGCATCAATAATAGTCAAAAAGTGAAAAACAACTCAAATGTTCATCAGCATGTGAATGGCTCAAAACAACATGATGTATAATTCAAAGGACTCTTATTTGGCAATAAACAAGAAAAGAAGCTCATCTGGGCTGGGTGTGGTGCCTCACGCCTGTAATCCCAGCACTTTGGGAGGCTGAGGTGGGTGGATCATCTGAGGTCAGGAGTTTGAAACCAGCCGGGCCAACATGGTAAAACCCTGTCTCTACAAAACATATGAAAAAAAAAAAAAAAAAGCCAGACATGTTGGCACGTGCCTGTAATCCTAGCTACCTGGGAGGCTGAGGTGTGAGAATCACTTTAACCCGGGAGGCGGAGGTTGCAGTGAGCCAAGATCGCGCCACTGGCACTGCAGCTTGGGTGACAGAGTGAGATTCCATCTTAAAAAAACAAAAAACAAAAACCAAAAAAACCAACAACAGATGAAGCACAGCTGAACTTGAACAACATGGGTTTGAAGTACATGGGTCTACTTAATATGCAGATTTTCTTCAAACAAACATGGATTGAAAATACAAGCCAGGCGCAGTGGCTCATGGCTGTAACCCCAGCACTTTGGGAGGCTGAGGTGGGTGGACTGCTTGAGCTCAGGAGTTTGAGACCAGCCTGGGGAACATGGCAGAACCCCCTATCTACAGAAAATACAAAAATTAGCCAGGCGTGGTGGTGCATGCCTATAGTCTCAGCTACTCAGAAGGCTGAGGTAGGAGGATCACTTGAACCCAGCAGGCAGAGGTTGCAGTTGGCTAAGATTCATGCCACTGCACTCCAGCCTGGGTGACAGAGCAAGACTCTGTCTCAAAAAAGAAAAGAAAAAGAAAACAGTATTCTTGGGATGCAAACCCCGAGTATATGGAGGGCCGACTTTTCATATATGTGGCTACCACAGGCCGAATGTGGGACTTGAGAATGTGTAGACTTTCATATACTGAAGGAAAACTGTACCGACACATGCTACCACATGGATGACTCTTGAAAACACGCTAAATAAAAGCTGCCAGTTACTAAAGACCACATATTGTATGATTCCATTTATGTAAAATGTCTAGAACAAAAAATCCCGAGACAGAAAACAGATTCATAGCTGCCTACTGCTGGGCTACTGGGGGTGCTGGTGTTTGGGTGTGCCTCCTGGAATTCATTTGGCAATCTGGTTGCTACTGCGGCAGTGTCGGGAGGTAGGGCCTTTAAGAGATTAGGTCGTTAAAAGGAATAAATGCCTCATGCCCTTCTCTCAGGAATGGGCTAACTACCCAAAGTTTAGCCCTTTTCTCTGTTGCACCCTGCTCCCGCTTCTGCTTTTTCTGCCATGCTATCAAGCAGCATGAGGCCCTCACCAGATGTGGCTCCTGATCTGGGACTTCCCAGTCCCCAGAACCATGAGCTAAAGAAACCGCTTTATAACTTACCCACTCTCAGGTATTCTGTTCTAGCAACGGAAAACAGATCAAGACAGGGTGACTGCTAAAGGGTAAGGGATTCTTTTGAGGGTGATGAAAATGGTCTGAAATTGACCAGTTACAGAACTCTTCAAATATATTAAAAACCACTAAATTGTACGGTATGTGAAGTATATCTCATCTAAGCTATTAATAAAGACAACCAAATAAACAGAACCAAATTCCAAGGCAGAATTCTGGTATAAATACATTACCTGTGATTTCTGATCCCATTTCTGCCTAACCCCAAATTGTTTCTGGAACTTTTTCTGCAGTCGAATGCGTTCTCTGGAAAGACAGACATATGATCTCAGTGCAGACCTTTAAACCAGTGGCTTCTTCAAAAGGCACACGCTGCCATTCTCTTCAGCTAAACCTTACCATCACCACTAACTCCTTTAAACTACGAAAAATGGGCTTAGAGAAAGGAAGAGACCCAGACGGTGCATACTGGAGGTGTTAGAAAAGGTACACTGCCTCCAAATACTGACCAGATGATTTTACTTCATCTATAGTGACTGTTCACTGATAGTTCCAATCTGGGGTGTAGTGGCCGCTGGACCACACAACACCAGGAGGCTCAAAGGACCAGCATACAGGGGGCTTCCTAGAGTTGACCCACAGCAGAACTGAGCCCAGGTAAGCTCCAGAGCCTCTTCTTGCCTGCCTGTGTTTCCCTTTAGTGCGCATGACCAGCACAAGGAGTTAGTTTCCTGCCCATGCTATCTGCCATGAACCAGCCTGAGAACGACAAGCTAAAAGGGGGCTTAACTGGTTGTAGAAAGTATTTTCCTTTTTTGCAGTGGTGGGGAATACAACCATCCTCCTGCTTTGGTCCTGTGGTTTCCAAATACGGCCAGTCTGGGAAGGGTGTCTTGTTCCAGCAGGATGAAAATCTCACCTCTCTTTCTGTTTGGCACTCTTAGGCAGGATCTGCAGGTTGAACTGCAACATGTTCCGACGATCTTTGTCTCTGCGGAGGTTCCTCTGGGCATCAGCAAGAAACATCCATGTTAAAATCTTGGAGATTTGGCTCACAATAGGCAGAACAAGTGGGAGGTCTTTGGAGTAAATTTAGGATGCCAAATCCCAAGTTTCACATCTTACTCTGTGCTTTCACTCTACGGCATCAACAGCTTGGGGGTGTTAGGGGGTAAGTGCTTGGACTTTGCTTAGACCTATACTCCCATGATATATTTTTCATTGAAGTATGTTTACTGGGTCTCATTAGATTTTCTGAGTTTGCCTCTTTAAATAATAATAGGCAATCTGACTGGACCATCTACTTAATAAAGTCTGCACACAGCAATTAAGTGTGGTAACAGGCACAGGTGCACCTTCTTATCCAGCACAAATGTTTTTAGCATACAAGTCTGATGTCCTAGCTACTGGCAAACAGAAATATAAACTATTTAAATGCATCCCTGATCCTAGTGCAAGTTCACCTTGGTACCACTTGTTATGGAACGGTGACCCGAGATTCACGAAAAGACCTATAATATGCTTCCCTCTCTCATTAGGAGTCACAAGGTAGCATTTTTTAGCAGGTGATGGCCAACAGTAACAGCCCCAAGATGGTGTGGTTGCTGGCTCTTGGCCTACCTGGGCAAATCTCATTCGATTCCGCTGGTAGGCCGTCTTCTGTGTGCGCGCTGTATCCACCAGCTGGAAGCTACTTTCATCCTCCTCATGGAAATAAGCATATTGACTTCCACCACCAAACTGAGAGGAGTACTTATCTGGAGGCAAAGGTGATGGCATGTAGTAACTGCACCCACAGACTTTACCAGATATGCACCAGTCTAAAGCCTTGCTATTTCAAGTGTGGTCTTGAGACCTGTAGCATTGGCTGAAAGCTTGTTAGACACACAGACTCACAGTCCCACCCCATACCCACTGAATCAGAACCAGCATTTTAACAAGATCCCCGGATGATTCATATGCACATTCAATTTTGAACAACTCTGGCCTAAAGAACTTTCTAAGCCAAGAATCTGAAGGACTCAAACTAACCCATTTCACTCTCTGCGTTATTGTGTGAGAATCTGAGGTATTTATTGCTAACCACCATCTCCATTATCAGGGGCCCATGGCAGGTATGTCTAATAGATCACGATATACTTTCTTGCCAATCTCAGCCTCAGCTATCCTAACTTAGTTCTCCAGGCAGCCACCTCCAACTATCTGAAGTGGCAGAGAGAAAAAGCCTTTTTATGGTACCAGGATCTTAAAACCAGGGGTTTTACTTTTTTTTTTTTTTTTTTTTTTGGAGACAGGATCTGGCTCTGTCACCAGGCTGGAGTACAATAGCATGATCTCTGCTCACTGCAACCTCTAACTTCTGGGTTCAAGTGATTGTCCTGCCTCAGCCACCCGAGTAGCTGGGATTACAGGTGCACGCCACCACGCCCAGCTAATGTTTTCAACAGGTTTTTAAAAGGGCCCAAAACCCCATTTTAATAGGCTAGACCTCTTTAATGAATGGTCTAAGTTTTGAGGGCTATTTCCAAAAATGTGGTTATTGTTAAAGCCCAGAATACATCCCTAAAAGTTATGAATTATTGTTGGCAGTTTCTTCCCATTCTAAAAAGCTTTCAGAAGAAGGTCATTAGAATAAAGAACAACTTTCCCAAGGCCCTGATTGGGGCATTCAGTTGCAGAAACACTTACTTGTGTACCTCTTATCTTGGTATGTGGCTCCTGTCCAGTCTGCAACCTACGAAGAACAAGAAAAGACAGAGAATGCACAGGTCAACCAGGCAAGTTTCTGCAGAACCAGAAATCCCTGAGCGCGAGAGGACAGCGTGGAAGAGTCTCAGAATTTGTTCACAACACCTCTGTAAGTGCCCAGCTCTTCTATGACTACACCCAGAGATAACCTTTCTCAGCTGGCATCCCTATAAGAAATTCAGGAGTTAAGATTTTGAGACAATAAAATCTAAACAGGGACTCGAGAGTAGCAGCCACAGCTGCAAAGATTCAGACTCCTGCTGACAGGCATGTACCTTTCCTAGCCGATCTCCTTTGCTGAACGGCTGGTAGGGCATATCCCGAAACTGCTCGGGAACCGCACAGGGACCCCAGCCTGAGGGGTTGTCCTGGATCACGGGTGTCATGAACTTTGCCATCTTCCAAAATCTGAAAAATATAAATCATGTGAGTAGCGGCATGAACGAAGGCCTCAGAGTACAAAACACCCTCCATATGAAGTAAGCAAAGACATAAATGATAGAACTCAAAAAGCAACACGCAAAATGGAACCCTCAACTGTTGAGCGACTACTACTGTTTTTGTTAATTATACTGTGAATATGTACTTAAAACTGAGAAGAATGCAAACAAAACTGATTTTTCATATTTCATTAATTCCACGACACTCTCTTTTTACTGTAACATCTTTAAAATGAGGCTGCACCTTGTGTTTGACAGGGTGTTGTATTGATTGGTAGTTTTTCTTTTTCTGTGTTACATAAGTGTTTAAAAAAATTTAATGGTGTCAGATTTGATAAAATGTCCTAATGTTTTTTCAAATATAGTAACCTTGTTTTGGTTCTGAGATATACCTTCACCAATTCATACAAACTCAACTTCCCTAAGACTTAGTAGTCTTTTCTTTCTTTCTTTTTTTTTTTTGAGACAGAGTCTCACTTTGTCACCCATGCTGGGGTGCAGTGGCGTGCAACTTCCGCCTTCCGAGTTCAAGCGATTCTCCTGCCTCAGCCTCCTGAGTAGCTGGGATTACAGGCAAGCGCCGCCTGGCTATTTTCTGTGTTTTTAGTGGAGACAGGGTTTCACCATGTTGTCCAGGCTAGTCTTGAACTCCTGACCTCAAATGATCCTCCCGCCTCGACCTCCCAAAGTGCTGGGATTACAGGCGTGAGCCACCACGTCCAGCCACCTTAGTCTTTTCCATCTGCAAAATAAACAAGATCCTTGTTCTAAGCACTTTGTATAATGCCACACAAGTATTCAGACTTGCAAAAGTGCATTTATGTATATAGAGTGCTGAGAAAAAAAGATCTTTAAGTATATCCTGAAATTCAATTTTCCTTTCTCATTGTTTCAATTTTCTGCCATCAACGCAAATCCTGTGTGCAGTGCAAGCGGACATAAAGCCAGGCAGAAGAACTGCCAGAGGGCCAAGGAGGTCCCCACAGACCTCAGGCCCAAAGTTGCCATGTTAAATGTTCATGAATACTGCCAGGCACTGTTCTTACTGTTTACCACTCATTCATTCATACAGTCCTGCCAACAATCCTGTGAGGTAGGAGCCAATGTTATCCGCACTCTCCAGATAAGAAAACCAAAGCACAGAGAAATGAAGAAATTGCCCAAAGTTGAAATGCTAGTGGATGAAAAACGTGAACCAAAGCAGTCTGACCCCAGAGTCTGCACTCTGCATAATGCTATAGCCCTCTTGGGAATTAAAAAACCGGCGCTGTATAGCAGATGGCTGCCCGACACTTCTATAAAAAAACCTATGCATTTATCTTCCGTTGTAACCTTCTGAAAATGCTTAGAAGGCGAGTTCCTAGAGGAAAATTCACTACACAAGTATTTCTTGGAGGCCGGGCGCGGTGGCTCACGCCTGTAATCCCAGCACTTTGAGAGGCCGAGGTGGGCGGATCACGAGGTCAGCAGTTCGAGACCAGCCTGGTCAACATGGTGAAACCCAGTCTCTACTAAAAATACAAAAATTAGCTGGGCGTGGTGGCGGGCACCTGTAATACCAGCTACTCAGGAGGCGGAGGTTGCAGTGAGCCAAGATCCTGCCATTACACTCCAGCCTGGGCAACAGAGCAAGACTCCGTCTCAAAAAAACAAAAATCAAATGTTTCTTGGAGGCTGGAGAGCAATCAAAAGAACAGGTATGCTGAACTTAGTAAACTCTCCTCAAAGCCCCATGCTGGGGAGATTGAGGCTTCCTTCAGAGATGACATTTGGGTGACAGCAACACAGGATGAACCTAGAAGTTTCATCTTTCTAATAGAAACTATAGGAAGAGGACAGAAGAAAAAGGGTGGTGGTCTCAGAACAATTTGTATTAAATAAATATTGCTGAGCTCCTACGTGTTAGGCCCTATACCAGATAATTTAACACCATTGACCACCCCCCCACCCCTACTTTAGAGGCAAAAATTTGAAGCTCAGCCTACTCAAGCAGCTGACCTCATCATTTCAAAACAGATTTGATTTCCAGGGTTGCCTGCTGTCAGTCCAGCCTTCTTTCCATTATATTACAGCTGGGCAGCAGCCCGCAAAGATCAGGGGTTTGAGACCGTACATCATAATACCAAGACAACGAGTCTCAAAACACACTTTAAAAAATCGGGTTCTGTCAGAAGCTCAAGAAGGGAAGAGGCCCGAGGCTCGACCTGCATCACCTCCCTGGAAAGCCAGGGATGAGATACCCTGGCTTTAATAAATGTTTTTTTTTTTAAGAGCAGAGCGGAACCAGGAGGAGAAACTGAGCCGCTCAGCAAAAACGAAGTAACAGCTGTACTAGTCACAGGGGCAGGATAGGGAGGTTCCAAGAGGGCACTCAGAAGGGGCTCTGTGGTTGGCAGGCCACTACAGATCATAAGCCGTCCATCGCTGAACAGGGGGTGGGGTAGATTTAAGATCAGAGATCAAATCTACTTCTCTATCCTAGCCTCCAGTTTCACAAAAAAGGAAAGATAACCTATGCACTGTGAATTCCTAAGAACAGGGGCCAAACACCGCTCAGCCTGGTACCCCTAAGACCTCACTCAAAAAGTCAGGGAGTTTTCGGCCACTTCAGAAAGACTTTGTTGTTACCCCTCCGTCTTAACCCAGGTGAGTTAAGTGACAATCAAATTCACCCAGCTCATGGGCACTGAGCAGGGCCGAGGGCCAAGGACCTCACCCACAAGGTCGTGTCCCGCGTTCAGTAGCGTGCGGGACGCGGGGCCCCCGAAAGTGGATTCCTGCCCCGCCCAGCGGAGGGACGGCAACAGCAGGAAGGGACTAAGAGAGGTCTCTTCCGGGAGGCCCCCCGAAGGCTGGACCTAGTCCGAACCGGCTCCGGAGGGCCGCAGGAACCTATGAAACACGCCGCTCACCTGCAATGGCCTCGGCCGGCCGGGATGGCAACAGATGGTGCGTGCCGGGGACCGCGTTAGCAGCAGCACTCTTGAGAAACCAGGAAAAGAGGAAACATGCGCGCGCAGCGGGCGCCGCCGTAAACACGACCGGCGCTGTCGTAAACTGCTCTCCCGCTTCCTCTGGGTTGGGCGGAAGAACTCACGAGCCGTAAAGCGAAGGTCCACCCGGAAATCCGTTACTGCGTTTCGCCAGGCGTCCTCATTAGCCTCCGAGGCGCCGAGACGCGAGAGGTGTGATTGGCACTACGTCAGGCGGTATCCGGGGACGCCCAAAGAGGGCGTTCATCACTGAAACTTGGCGGCCGCGCAATCGAAGCTCGAGGCGGGGAGCGACTGGCGCCCTTCTGTGTCCCACAATGCTTCGCGGCGCGCCTCAGCCCCCATGTATCCCACCGTCACCCGCGACTCCCCGCCTGTTCTACCTGCCTGCTTAATGTGAAACTCAGCGCAGGGGAGGTCCGTCGGTGTCTTAGGCGGTCCTTATTGTTACTCCTCCGCCTTTATAGTTGTGGAAACTGAGGCTCAGAAGTGCCAAGTGACCTGCCTAGATCAGACTGTTAGTTTAGGGTTCTAACCGCCAGAGTTCAAACCATACTTCCGCAGTTCTCAAACTTAATTGTAGGACAGGGATTTCTGGAACAGTGTTTTTATTTATTTTTATTTATTTTTTGAGACAGGGTTTCGCTCTGTCGCCCAGGCTGAAATGTAGTGGCAGGATCACGGCTTATTGCACCCTCGACTTCTCAGGTACAAGCGATCCTCCCAGTTCAGCCTCCCGAGTCGTTGGTGTACACAGGCACGCACAACCACGCCTGCCTAATTTTTGTATTTTTGGTAGAGATGGGGTTTTGCTATGTTGCTCAGGCTGGTCTCAAACTCCTGAGCTCAACAGTCCACCCACTGGGGCTAGGGTTACAGGCATGAGTCACCGTACCCGGCCAGCTAATGATTTTTAAAAATTTTGTAGAGACAGCGTCTCACTATGTTGCCCGGGCTGGTCTTTAACTCCTGGTCTAAAGTGGTCCTCTCGCCTCAGCGTGCGGAGCAGCTGAGGCTACAGGTGCATGCCACCATGCCTGGCTAATTTTTTTTTTTAGACGGAGTCTTGCTCTGTCTTCCAGGCTGGAGTGGAGTGCAGTGGCGCTATCTCAGTTCACTGCAACCTCCGCATCCCAGGTTCAGGTGATTCTCCTGCTTCAGTCTCCCGAGTAGCTGGGATTGCAGGCGTGTACCAACATGCCCGGCTAATTTTCCTTTTAGTAGAGACGGGGTTTCACCTTGCTGACCAGGCTGGTCTCGAACTCCTGACCTCAGGTGATCTACCCACCTCGGCCTCCCAAAGTGCTAGGATTACAGGCGTGAGCCACTGCGTCCGGCTGCCTGGCTAATTAAAAAAAAAAAAAAAAACTTCTGTGGAGACGAAGTCTCATCATGTTGCCAAGGCTAGTCTCAAACTCCTGGGCTCAAGCAGTCCTCCTGTCTCGGTCTCCCAAAGTGCTGGGATTACGGGCGTGAGCCACCACACCTGACCAGGATAGTATTTTTAAAAATTCAGATTCTGGGTCTCATTTTGATAGATTATACGGATATGTTTATGCTGGAGCCCAAGAGCTCCGCATTAGCTGTGATTCTGAAGTGACGACTCAGGAACTGCTTTACTACAGTAGATAACAGTGCTGTCCTCTCAGCAACTCCCAGGCTATGGAGTTCCTCCTGGTGTCTTTCTTTCGGAATTTTAAAACAATGAAAGATAATCTGAGGGCATGACTTTATTCAAACCTCAGATCCTTTCTACCTGACATAGGTTTCCTTAGCCGCCTAGTATGTCTCCTTTATTAGAAAATATACCTGAAGTCTAGGCTCTGCCACATTCTTTTTTTTTTCTTTTCTTTTCTTTTTTTTTTTTTGAGACGGAGTGTCGCTCTGTTGCCAGGCGGGAGTGCAGTGGCGCGATCTCAGCTCACTGCAACGTCCACCTCCTGGGTTCAAGTGATTCTCCTGTCTCAGCCTCCTGAGTAGCTGGGAATACAGGCATGCGCCACCATGCCCAGCTAATTTTTATATTTTTAGTAGAGACAGGGTTTCACCATGTTGGCTGGGATGGTCTCAATCCCTTGACCTTGTGATCCCCCCGCCTCGGCCTCCCAAAGTGTTGGGATTACAGGCATAAGCCACTGTGCCCAGCCAGCTCTGCCACTTGATAGCTATGTGTGGCCTTCACATTCCTTGCCTTGTTTCCTTATTTGTAAATTGAAGATGATAATTAGAGGGCGCTGTGGGGGTGAAAATAAATGTGTGTGAAAGGACTTAGTAATTCCACTTATCATTTGGGTGAACTTGGACAGGTTATTCAACCTCTTTTTTTTTTTTTTTTTTTTTTTGAGACAGAGTCTCGCTCTGTTGCCCAGGCTGGAGTGCAGTGGCGAGATCTCGGCTCGCTGCAACCTCTGCCTCCCAGGTTCAAGCAATTATCTGCCCCAGCCTCCCGAGTAGCTGGGATTACAGGTGCCCACCACCATATCCGGCTAATTTTTTGTACTGTTAGTAGAGACGGGGTTTCACCATGTTGGTCAGGCTGGTCTCGAACTCCTGACCTTGTGATCCACCCGCCTCAGCCTCTCAAAGTGCTGGGATTACAGGCGTGAGCCACCGCACCTGGCCTATTCAACCTCTCTAAACCTGCTTATTCATCTGAAAAATGAGAATGCTAATAGCAGCACCTATTTCCATAAGCTCTCTCCCAACTGCTCATTTTTTTTTTTTCCTAATTTTTGTTAATGGTGTCTGGTGAATTGTGCCCAGTGGAAAGCCTTGTAGTCATCACTGGTAGTTCGTTTTTCCTTCCCTCCCACATTTAGTTCTTCACTATGTTCTCTTTATTCTACTTGCACAATGCATCTTGAATGCTATCACTTTTTTTTTTTTTTTTTTTTTGAGACAGAGTCTTGCCCTGTCACCCAGGCTGGTGTGCAGTGGCGCAATCTCAGCTCACTGCAACCTCCGCCTCCCGGGTTCAAGCAATTCTCCTGCCTCAGCCTCCCAAGTAGCTGGGATTACAGGCGTGTGCCACCACGCCTGCCTAATTTTTTGTATCTTTAGTAGAGATGGGGTTTCTCCATGTTGGTCAGGCTGGTCTCGAACTCTTGACCTTGTGATCCACCCGCCTCGGCCTCTCAAAGTGCTGGGATTACAGGCGTGAGCCACTGTGCCCAGCCGAATGCTATCACTTTTTATCCCCATTTCACATCACGCTTGGATACACTCTTGCTGCTCTAGGGTTTCTTCTCTATATGGTGGTCAAAGGAATCTGTCCACAACCTTCTACTAGCTTCCCATTATATGCTTAGAGGGAAATATGAATATCTTTTTGTGGCCTGTGTGGTCACTGTCTACCTTTGTTATTTTTAAAATATTTACTTCTTTGAGACAGGGTCTTGCTCTGTTGTCCAGGCTGGAGTGCAGTGGTGTGATCATGGCTCACTGCAGTCTTGACCTTTTGGGCTCAAGCAATCCTCCCACCTCAGCCTCCGAGTAGGTGGGACTAGAGGCTCATGCTGCCACTCCTGGCTAATTTTTAATTTTTTGTAGAAATGGGGTCTCACTATGTTGCCCCGGCTGGTCTGGAACTCCTGGGCTTAAGCCATCCTCCAGCCTTGGCCTCCCAATATGCTGGGATTACAGGTGTAAGCCACCTCACCTGGCCACTGGTCTACCTCTAGCCACCATATTCTTCTTGTGCCTTAAATACACTGAACTTCTTTCTTTCTTTTTCTTTTTTTTTTTTTTGAAACGGAGTCTAGCTCTGTTGTCCAGCCTGGAGTGCAGTGGTGTGATCTTGGCTCACTGCAACCTCTGCCTCTGGGGTTCAAGTGATTCTCCTGCCTCAGCCTCCCAAGTAGCTGGAACTACAGGTGTGTGCCTCCACACCAGGCTAGTTTTTGTATTTTTAGTAGAGACGGGGATTCATCATGTTGGCCAGGCTGGTCTCAAACTCCTGACCTCCAGTGATCCATCCACCTTGGCCTCCCAAAGTGCTGGGATTACAGGCGTGAGCCACTGTGCCCAGCCCACCAGCCTTCTTTCCATCTCAGCAGGGCCTCTGGACTTGACGTTCTTTCTGCATGGCACACTCTTCCCCCAGGTTTCCTGGTAGTTGAATTGGTCTCATCATCTATGCCTCTGCTCGAGAGTTAACTCCTTATGCAGGTCTTTTCTGACCATCATTTCTAAAACAGGTGATTGTATTAGTCCATTTTCATGCTGCTGATAAAGACATACTGGAGACTGGGAAATTTACAGAAGAAAGAGGTTTAATGGACTTACAGTTCCACATGGCTGGGGAGGCCTCACAATCATGGCAGAAGGCAAGGAGGAGCAAGTCACATTTTACATGGATGGTAGCAGGCAAAGAGAGAGCGCTTGTGTAGGGGAACTCCCCCTTTTAAAATCGTCAGATCTTGTGAGACTTATTCACTATCATGAGAACAGCATGGAAAAGACCTGCCCCCATGATTCGATTACCTCCCCCTGGGTCCCTCTCACAGCACATGGGAATTCAAGATGAGATTTTGGTGAGGACACAGCCAAAGCGTATCACTGGCATAGAGTAGGTGCTTAAGTAGGTACTCATTGACTGAGTTAATGAAAAAAAGAATCTGGCCAGTGGTGGTGTCTCATGCCTGTAATCCCAGCACTTTGAGAGGCCAAGGCGGGCAGATCACCTGAGGTCAGGAGTTTGAGACCAGCCTGGCCAAAATGGTGAAATCCTCTACTAAAAAAACAAAAATTAGCCAGGTGTGGTGGAAGGCACCCTGTGATCCCAGCTACCTGGGAGGCGGAGGTTGCAGTGAGCTGAGATAGCACCACTGGACTCCAGCCTGGGCTGCAAGAGCGAAACTCCATCTCAAAAAAAAAAAAAAAAAAGAAAGAATCAAAATTGGAGGACCAGGTGTGGTGTCTCATGCCTGTAGTCCCAGCACTTTGGGAGGCCGAGGCAGGTGGATCACCTGAGGTCGGGAGTTTGAGATCAGCCTGGCCAACATGGTGGAACCTCATCTCTACTAAAAATACAGAAATTAGCCAGGCGTGGTGGTGGGTGCCTGTAATCCCAGCTACTGGGGAGGCTGAGGCAGGAGAATTGCTTGAATCTCGTAAGTGGAGGTTGCAGTGAGCCAAGATCACACCACTGCACTCCAGCCTGGGTGACAGAGTGAGAGTCTGTCTAAAAAAAAAAAAAAAAAAATTGGTATGAGATTAACTGGCATTAATGAGGACCACTCCTCGGCAGCAGACCTGTTGTATTTATGATCAATAATGTGAGATTCTTGCTTTCAAAGGGCTTCCATTCCAACCAAAGGAATGATGACAGAAATGTTTTTTTTTCTTTTTTAAAATTTTTTAATTTTAATTATATATTTCATTTTACTCAATATATCCAAAATATTATCACCATACGATATAAAAGCCTTATTAATGGGAATGTTTTACATTCTTTTTTGTGCTAAGTTACCAAAATCTGGTATATATTTCACATGCATGGCATAACTCAATTTGCACTAGCTATATTTCAAATGTTCAAAAGCCACATGTAGCTAATGACTATTATATTGGACAGATCTAAATATAGAGTTTTCCTGAAACTTAAAGACGTTTCATGAGACTAGCACTTAGTAAGTGTGGACAAGAGAGGAATGAGATGAAGCTGGAGTGGGACAGGCAGTGATAGATCACACAGGGCCTGGTAGGCTTGGGAAGGAGTTTGGATTTTATACTAATGGCATTAGGTCACCTCCTACAAGAAGTCTTTCCTAATGTCCCAAAAAGAGTTAACCACTCCATCTCTTGTGCCACCATGGCTTTTGATGAAAAACCCAATATGGCACCCCGGATTCTTTATTATATCTTTTAGTATATACATGGCTGATTTCTCCTCAAGGGCAGTGAATGTGTCTTTATTCATCTCTTTATTCCCAAGGCCTGGCACACCTCTTAGCATATAATAGGTACTATATATTTATTGGAAGAGTGAATGAGTGGGGGTGCGAGAATGGATTCCTTCAGATCTATTTTCCAGCTCATTAATTCTCCCTCTAGCTATGTCTCATCTGCTATTTAACACATCCCTTGAGTTTTCATTTTAACAACTATGTTTTCATTTCTAAAATATCTGTATGGGTTCTTTTTCAAATTAGCCTGGTCAATTTAGAGTTTCTTCTACTTATCTCGTTTTGTGATTCTACATTTCATATCTTTAAATATTTCATAGTTATTTTATATTCCATACCGAATAGTTCCAATGTATCAAGTGCCTTGGGATCTAAATCTGCTGGTGATTGATTTTCCTGACTCTCACTCATGGTGGCTTATTTTCTTCTGTATCTGATTTTCTTCAGTTGTGAGTTCACATTTGTTCGATCTTAACCTGTCCTGCTTTAGCAGTGGTTTTCAAAGTGTGGTTCCTGGACGAGCACAATAAACAGCACCTGGGAATTTTTTAGAAATGCAAGTTCTAGGGCTGGGCACGGTGGCACATGCCTGTAATCCCAGCACTTTGGGAGGCTGAGGTGGGTGGATCATGAGGTCAGGAGTTCGAGACCAGCCGGACCAACATAGTGAAACCCCATCTCTACTAAAAACACAAAAATTAGCCAGGCGTAGTGGCATGTGCCTGTAATCCCAGCTACTCGAGAGGCTGAGGCAGGAGAATCACTTGAACCCGGAAGGTCGCGGTGAGCAGAGATCGCTCTACTGCACTCCAGCCTGGGCGACACAGCGAGACTCCGTCTCAAAAAAAAAAAAAAAAAAATGCAAGTTCTAGAGCCCCCATCCCAGACTTGCTAAATGAGAAATGCTGAAAGTGAGGCCCAGTAACCTGTATTTGACAAGCCCTATAGAAGGTTCTGACACACACTGGCGTATGAAAACCACTGCTTGCAAGATAATTTGGTTTACCTCTTTAGGAAGCCAAGGAGTGCTACCGACCAGCAGCCACTTTAGTTTTTATTTTTAATTTTTTAGTTTTTTATTGACTATGCCTTATAAAAGGACCAGCAGCCACTTTAACTTTTTGGGGCTGGGCTTAAACTAGAGTTGCAGGCTCAGCTTTACTATGCTGCTGCTGGCCTAAGGCTGTTTACTGCCTGTAGTGCTGGTATCATTTGCAGTCAGGGCAATCTTACCTTTAGCGCTGTGTTCTTCTCCACTGCTTTCCCCTCCTGTTCCACCTCAATATAATTTTGTGGGAGGAGGAGGGGAGGGTTGAAGGAACTGTCTTCAAAGATTTCTGTAATTTACAGTGAACCCAAAAATTACATTAAAAGTCTGTATTATCCAGGATCGAGCTGTTTTACCATGGGAAAGCCCATCAGAGTACCCAACCCTCCATATGGCCAGAAAGAACAACTCTGTCTGAATACACGAGTTTCAGGGGCTGCTTGTGCCTTCACTCATTAGGGTTAAAACATGGTCTTAAAGCTGAAGGCCGCCTCTGACCTGACAGCTCCAAGTCCTGCGGACTCCTGCGCCCAGTAATCACCTCCATGGCGAAGCACTGTTCCTGCTCCCGCAGGCGGCTATAGGTCCACAGCAGGCTCTGAAAGTGCTCCCACAGCTGGACACGCTGCCCCAGGTCTGGGGGCCGCAGCCTGAGGGCAGAGCCAGAGAGGGCGGGAGAGACCACGAGAAAGCTGGTCTCTCCCACACCCAACAAAAGGACCAGAGTCCCAGCTCAGTGTTAGAGCCAGGTGAGCCCATGTGACCTGCCCACACAGCTGGGAAAGCGGGTCGGGTTTCTGGCCCAGCTCTAGCTGTGGAGTGGGGTGGGATAGGCACGGAGCCAGAAGGCAGGCAGCTGAGCAAATCACCTCACTCTTCAATCTCTGTCACACAAACACATGTCATATAAACCCAGCTAGAGAGAGCCAGGGTGGTGCTTAAGCTTCTCACACAGAGGCCACTGAACACAGAAAGGTCTGGTCTATCATCAGGGCCCTACACAGGGTTGCAGCCATCTCGGATGCTGGCAAGGTCTGCACTGGCCAATGTGGTTCATGTAACAGGCATCTACCACCTGCAGCATTTGCCACTGAAACCATGACCTATCTGGGCTAAAATGGCTCATGAAACAATGTTTGTGCATTTGAGAAATGCCTCGAGCATGTACAGCTTCCGCTGCAGGTCCCCCTCGCTCTTGGTGTGGTCGCCATTGATGGCAATGAACAGGCATTCTCCAAACAGGTGAAGGACATACAGGGAGTTGCTGTTTTCCATGGAGAAGCAGGTGTAGGTGTCCGAGAGCTTCTCCAGCATCGTCATGGAGGAGATGATGACCGGGGCTAGGAGGGGGCTGAGCTGGTCCTGTAGGGCAGGGAGCTCTTCTTCCTCATTCTCTGACTGCCCGAACTTCAGCTGGAGACTCTCTTCAAACTCCTCATCCGTCCAGTAGAAGAGGGCCTCTGTGCCCTCAATGGCCACCAAGATGCACTTCATCTTGGTAAGGAGCACAGTGGAGCGTCCAGACAGCCAGAGGTTCAGAAAGGGCTGCAGCAGACAGACTCTGTGACTGCCTCATCGGAGAGCAGCACAACATCCCTGGTCCTGCAAATGCGGATCGCGGCGTGCACAGCACCCCGCCTGCGGGACAGAAATGTTTTCTGAACTGAAAAAGGGGGACTACAGGTGCCTGCCAGGCCCTCCATATACATACATCCCCCTATGTCTGTGTCTAGAAGTGAGATACACCGTTATTTCTGTTTTCTGATTGGCCTTTTTAGTTTTTTGAGACAGAGTCTCCCTCTCTTACCCAGGCTGGAGTGCAGTGGCTCGATCTTGGCTCACTGCAACCTCTGCCTCCGGGGTTCAGGCAATTCTCCTGCCTCAGGCTCCGGAGTAGCTGGAATTACAGGCCTGCACCACCACGCCTGGCTAATTTTTGTATTTTTGGTAGAGACGGGGTTTGGCCATGTTGGCTAGGCTGTTCTCGAACTCCTAAACTCATGTTATCCACCCCCCCTCGGCCTCCCAAAGTGCTGGGATTACAGGTGTGAGCCACCGCAACTGGCCCATTGGCCTTTCTTGTTGTACTGTTCTGTCCCTTCCAGGTAAGACAGGTACATTTTCTAGTAGTAAGCTCCTGTGTCTTAAAAAAGAAAATAACATTCATTGAGTGCTTACTTTATGCCAGGCACTGTGCTATGGGCTTTATATAAATAATTTCCTCTCTGAAAAAAACAAAGACAACAAAAAAAATTACTTCTTTGATTCTTTTCTAAAAGTTCCTTGAAATTGCCATGGACCCTCCCATTCGTGCAGGTGGGGAGAAAGAAGCTCAGAGTCGTTGAGTACTTGGCCCAGTGAGTAAATGGTGGAGCCAGGATTTGTGAACAGTTTTGTGGACTCAGAAGCTTCCATCCCTTACAGGGGTGGTGAAGAAGGCCTTTCCGAGAGGCCCGAGAGGCCCCAAGGCAGAACCATCCAGCCAAGCCCACCCCAAATTCCTGTCCCACAGAAACCAAGAGAGATAATAAAAAGACGGTTGCAGGGTTGTCTCGCCCCTCCTCTGTCTCTTGCCTGCTCTCTCTAAGGAATTCAGAGCCTTCCCATCTTGAATACCAGCGGCAGCTCCAGAATTTCCCCGTGGGACAGGCTTACTGAGAGCCGTCTTGTGAAGGGGGTAGCCCTGGACTTGCCTGGGAGCTGTGTCTGTGTAGCAGGTACTCTGCTTTCAGGAGGATGCAGGTTTTGTTGGGGGAGAGTGTTCCAGGGACTGTGAGGGGACTGAGCCTGCTCCTGAAGCCATCTCCTTTTTATTTAATTTTATTTTTTTGAGACAGAGTCTCGCTGTGTTGCCTAGGCTGGAGTGCAGTGGCAAGATCTTGGCTCACTGCAACCTCCATCTCCCGGTTCAAATGATTCTCCTGCCTCAGCCTCCCGAGTAGCTGGGATTACAGGTGCCCGCCACCATGCCTGGCAAATTGTTGTATTTTTAGTAGAGATGAGGTTTCACCATGTTGGTCAGGCTGGTCTTGAACTCCTGACCTCAGGTGATCCACCTGACTTGGCCTTCGAAAGTGCTGGGATTACAGGCATGAGCCACTGCGCCCGAAGCCATCTCTTGGTAAAATACTGCTGAGCATTCAGACAGAACAGAATTAGGAGAAAGAGAAGGAACCAGCATTGATTTCTTCAACACACTGTGCTAGGTACCTCAGGCATTTCGATTATTCTAGGCTGTGAGTGAAGAGTTGTTGCCAGAATCTAAAGTGTGTTCTGAGAACTTGGCCAAATGTAGGGTGACCATATGACTTACCATTCAAATTTGGGACACTTTGGGGGTGACGAAGGGATTACTATCAATAATTATGCCCTGGGATTGTCTCACTTAAACTGGGAGGTATGGTCACCCTAGGCAGAAGGGAAGTAAAATGGTCCTCTGTTACTGATTATCTGTTGCTGTGTAACCAATCACACCAAAATTTAGTGGTTTAAAACAACAACAGTCTTTTTATTATATCTCTTAGTTTCTGTGGGTCAGGAATTGGGAGAGGGCTTGGCTGGGTGGTTCTGACCTGGGGTCTCTCATGCATTATAGTTTGGTGTGGGTGGAGCTTCTGTTTTTCTCTCTCTCCATTTAGCCTCAGGGTCATTCTGTAGTGAGTCCATGTGGGGAGTTCAGAGCAAGTATTCTGGCGAACAAGCTGGAAGCCATGCTGCCTTCTGTGATCTAGCCTCCGAAGTTATACAGCATCTCTCCCATCCCCGTAACTTGTTGGTTCCAAGTGAGTCACAAGCCTGCCTAGAGTCAAGGGCGAGGGAGGACAGAGACTGAATTTCTTGCTGGGTAAGGCACAAAGTTATGGAACAAGTATGTGGAGTGGGAGGTATTGTCGTGGCCATCTTAGGGGTATGAACTCTGCCATGGATGCAGACTGGCCTTTTCTAAGAGTCATCAGTTTGGTTATCTGCAAACATGACTGAAGAGTGTGGGGTACATCAATGCCAGGCAAAGTTTCTGAAGGAGTCTGGCTCAGAGGGGGAGGCCTGGAATACGATCCTAGTTTACCAAGGGGAACCTGGTCAGTTACCTTGCAACTTTGGAGAAAGAGTGAATGGAAGTGTCCCTCAGTAGGGGACATTTAGGAAGGGGATGGTCACAGAGCCAGGGCTGGCATTGTCCAGGGCACAGGTTCTTGGTTGCGCTGGCTCAAGCATCATCCCCATTCCCCGGGTAAGACTGTCCTCCCAAAACAGAGGTGGCTTCAAGCTGCTCTGTGATAAACACTTTTTTTTTTTTTTTTTTTTGAGATGGAGTCTGGCTGTGTCACCCAGGCTGGAGTGCAGTGGTGCAATCTTGGCTCACTGCAACCTCTGCCTCCCAGGTTCAAGTGATTCTTATGCCTCAGCCTCCCTAGTAGCTGGGATTACAGGTGCCTGCCACCATGCCTGGCTAATTTTTGTATTTTTAGTAGAGATGGGGTTTCACCACGTTGGTCAGGCTGGTCTCGAATTCCTGACCTCATGATCCGCCCGCCTCGGCCTCCCAAAGTGCTGGGATTACAGGCGTGAGCCACCGTGCCTGGCCGATAAATGCTTCTTAATGCTGTTGTTTATTCTGACTCCCTGCCACCAAGCAGTGCTGTGACACCGTGGATCCTCATGGAACTTGTGCTGTAGGGAAGCACGTGCTGGTTAGGCTGATGGAAGTGCTCCATTCTGCTGGTGGGGTATTTACTGTGCTCTCCAATAATAAATGGATCTTCTGCTATGCGTCAGCCTTGTAAGTTTGGTCAAAGGGAGTCTGCCACCGCCTTGTGTGCAGAAAGATCCCGGATATCCTGTGGTGGATTCACCTCATTGGGACCGGTCAGTGTGGCCAACCTCTCTTCCAGAGTGGCAACTTGCGTTTCCTTGCTTATCTTTTAAGAAGCACCATAGGAATCATCACCCCATTTTATAGACGAGAACACTGAGGCTCAGAGAGGAGGAATGTCTTGCCCCAGGTGAGCCAGCTGGTCAGGGTGCATTTGGAATGGAAACCCAGGTGTGGCTGAAACCAAAGCTGGCACTCTCCATGCACAATTCCAAAACCCACAAAGCTCTGAAAATCTAAAGCTTTTTCATGAGATTGGGGCAAGCATTTGATGGCAAACCTGATATGAATTGGATGTGAGGTTATTTATAGTCTTTATTTTGTCCCACTTAGCGTGAATATTTATACATTTTGCTGCAGAAAAATTAAAGGGTTTATGGAATATTGCTCCAGAGCTCACTGGCATGTCACCTGATATGCGGTAGATCCACTCGAAAACCTTTCAGGAATCCAAAGAATTCCAAGTTATAAAGCACATTGAGGCCGGATGTGGTGGCTTCAGACCTGTAATCCCAGCACTTTGGGAGCCCAAGGCGGGCAGCTCACCAGAAGTCAGTAGTTTGAGACCAGCCTGGGTGAAACCTCATCTCTACTAAAATACAAAAATTAGCCAGGCGTGGTGGTGGGTCCCTGTAATCCCAGCTACTGGGGGAGGCTGAGGCATGAGAATCGCTTGAACCCAGGAGGTGGAGGTTACAGTGAGCCAAAATCGGGCCACTGCACTCCAGCCTGGCCGACAGAGTGAAACTGTGTCTCAAAATAAATAAAATATAAAATAAAATACATAAATTGATAAAGCACATTGAGCCGCGAGGATTTCAGATAAGAAATTGTGGAGCTGTGCTACCTGTACCAAACTTTTCTGTCTCGGTTAGGCAGAGATCACTACCCCCATTCTGCAGATGAGGAAGACTGAGGGCAAGGAACATGGTGTCCCAGGTAGGACGGCAGCCATTTTATCATCCTGTTGGAGGCTGTGCCAGCAGGAAAGGAAGCTTTGGAGCCACCAGCCCACCCCAGCCTCCCAAGAACCTTGTTGTCTCAGCAAAATTTCAGAACTAGAAAACCTGGAAAGATTAAAGCCCCAAAGAATGCCACAAGTCCCCCAGGAAGAAAGGGAGGCTTTGCTGTGCGTTCCAGTGGTCGACATTCTAAATCATTTTTTATTTCAGCTGCATGTACACTCACCCATCACAGGACCAGTTCTCAGAATAGAGAGGTACCTGTTGAATCATCCACCCTACTTCCTGCCTCGTGTGGGCATGTCTCCAAGTGCTGAGCCATCCGCTTCGCTGCCGTGGCCTGAGATATATCAGGATTTGCAGGCCTGGCGACAGGAGACAAAATAGATTCCCATTTCCTTCAGAACCATTTAGCTAGTTTAGAGAGTGTTTGACTGTTTCAATGGGATGAGCAATAACCAGGCCTCTCCTTGGCTCCTTCTCTCTGCCCCATATGTTTTCTTCTGTTGGAAGCTGGGATTTGGGGTCTTAGGGCCAAAGATAAATACTGATTTTGGCTCGATCTGGCCGCACAGCTGTGGGCTAGTAGGTGCCCCTCTCTGAACCTCAGGCCCCCACTTTCTGCAGCACAGTGTTGTTCTCATCTCTGTTTTTTTTTTTTTTTTTTTTTTTTGAGATGGAGTCTCTCTCTGTTGCCTAGGCTGGAGTGCAGTGGTGCGATTTCAGCTCACCGCAACCTCCATCTCCTGGGTTCAAGCAATTCTCCCCACCTCAGCCTCCCGAGTAGCTGGGATTGCAGGTGCCTGCCACCAGGCCCAGCGGATTTTTGTGTTTTTTAGTAGAGACAGAGTTTCACCATGTTGGCCAGGCTGGTCTCGAACTCCTGACCTCAGGTGATCCGCCCTCCTCAGCCTCCCAAAATGCTGAGATGACAGGCATGAGCCACCGCATCCGGTCTCTCATCTCTTCATACCACATGCCTTGGTTCCCACTGCCCCGGCGGGTGCCTGGAGAGCCTTGTGGCTGGGGCTGAGTGACCGCAAGGTGATATTTAAGGTGGTCTCATGGAGCAGTCTGACATCACTGTAATGCAAGCAGACATCTGGGGAGTCAGACTGACTGAATTTGAATTCCAGCGATTTAAATTTTTACCACTGTTGTGTGACCTTGGGCAAGTTGTGTGACCATTTGAGCCATAGCTTCTTCATCTGTAAAATAGATGGAATCATAGCATGTACCACTTCGGGAGGGAGGGAGAATAGAATTAGGTCAGATTTTATATGTGACATGCTTAAGGCAGTGCCTGGCATGCAAATAAGCCCTTGATACATGCCAGTGGGGTTACTCTGGTTACCAGAAACTTGGAAGTAGGGGCTTTGGCTGGGGCAAGATCTCGCAACATTTAAAAAGCAATCACTGACCGGGCACCGTGGCTCATGTCTGTAATCCCAGCACTTTGGGAGGCCGAGGCAGGTGGATCACGAGGTCAGAAGATCGAGACCATCCTGGCTAACACGGTGAAACCTCGTCTCTACTAAAAATACAAAAAATTAGCCGGGTGTGGTGGTGGGCGCCTGTAGTCCCAGCTACTCGGGAGGCTGAGGCAGGAGAATGGCATGAACCCGGGAGGCGAAGCTTGCAATGAGCCAAGATCATGCCACTGCACTCCAGCCTGGGTGACAGAGAGAGACTCCGTCTCAAAAAAAAAAAAAATAAATAAATAAAAAGCAATCACTGGTCACTCGTGAGGAACCAGGCCCCGAGTTGGTCACTCAGCGTTCAGGTGGAGACCTTGCCATGCTATCAAGTAACCTAGAGTCTATTTTTTTTTTTAAGATGGAGTTTCACTCTGTCGCCCAGGCTGGAGTGCAATGGCACGATCTTGGCTCACTGCAACCTCTGCCTCCCATGTTCAAACGATTCTCCTGCCTCAGCCTCCCGAATAGCTGGGATTACAGGCACCCGCCACCACACCCGGGTAATTTCTGAGTAGAGACTGGGTTTCACCATGTTGGCCAGGCTGGTCTTGAACTCCTGAGCTCAAGTGATCCACCCGCCTTGGCCTCCCAAAGTGCTGGGATTACAGGTGTGAGCCACTGTGCCCAGTCAAGTAACTCAGAGTCTAATGGGGAAAGTAGATGTGGCTAATCCAGGGGCTGCAATACCTATAAAGTCCTTAATCAAATATATTTTGCGTCTATGTTTAAAAAGCAGATTTCACCTAAAAATCTAGTTTTTTGGCTTCTCTTAAGATCTGGCAACACCGGGCTGGCCTTCCTGCGATACGAGAAGAAGCTGGAGCTGAATAGGAGTTGCCCCCTTGGCCAGGGGCTCTCTACTTTGCCTCAGTCCCCACTACTCCCTATTGCACCAGATTCAAACTTCTTCATAGTCATGCATGTTTGCCGCTGGGGCCTGTGGGAGTTTGCTGATAAGTTGCAGTGCAATGCTGTGGGTGCTGTGAGAGCACGATGAGCAATAATAACTCAGCCTTGGGCAGTCAGGAAAAGCTTCCCAAGGGAGGCGAAGTCACAGCTGCTTCTCTATAAAACCTGCAGATGCTGCTGAACACCCTCATCTTTATGGCTCAAGGACATGAATAAAGGACGCAAAGTCAGAGCTCACGAGGAATCTCTGGCATAAAGCGACTGAGGCCCAGTGACTTATCTCGGGTCACACAGCCTGCTGATGGCAGAAGTGGGGCTAGAACTAGGATTACCAACCAGAAACCTTTTTGGACTACTTTCCCTAGAACCAGAGCTGTCAACCAGAAACAGTTCTGGGCCACTCTACCTCCCCTGTCTCTGGATTCCTCGGGAGTTAGGAGGATTTGTACTCTGGAATCTTAGACTTGAGTCCTGTCTCTGCCATTTACTTGCAGTATGACCTCAGATGAGTCACTTCCTTTCCTTGAACCTCAGTTTCCTCATCTGTAAGGTAGAGCTAAGGATTCTGACCTCAAAGGAGTGTTCTGAGGGCCAAACGTTGGGAAAGTGGACAGGAGGCAATCTCAGACATCTCATTAGCTCAAGAGGACTCTAGATACCTGAGGGTCATTATGACTGTTGACAAGTAGCCACCTTCTCCCAAGAGATTTTGTTACCATCTGTTTAACAGTGACCTTGAAGGGGATCCATCCCCCACTTTGCCCTTGCCAGTCCCTTAAAGGAGCACGCATGGCCTTTGGTCAGGCTTGGACCCTGGAAGGGAATGCTTTGGGATTCTCTGACTTTGGGTGTGAACTGGGCCCTGGATGCAGAGCCCAAGGGTTCCCCTCTCCTGGGAGGCTCCAAGGTCACAGCGAGTACTAGGGTAGAGTTGGGAAGGAAGCAGAATTTCCTGGGCAAAAGAAATGTCAATAATTCTTTTGTTTTCTTCAAGGCATCTACCTGCCTATCTGGGGCTCCCCTTAAATCCCATGTCTGTGGCTGGAACTATTGAGACTCTCCTACTTTGAGGAGGTCCCACTGTCCTGAGTTCAAATCCTGACTTTTCTCCTTATTAGTTGAGTGTGACTTTGGTTGGACAAGATTTCAAATTCCTCTAAACTCCAATGTCCTCATCTACAAAATGGGCCTCTTAAGAGTACACATTTGGTAAGGTTTAGTGGGAATTAAGTGAGATTATGTGTGAAAGGGTTTAGCACAGTGTAGAGCTCAGTCAATGCCCGTTATTACTGTGATTGGAAATTAGAATGATTGCCACCCATCGTGTTTGTATAACACTTGACCATTTCTGAACTTATGCTTCTCTTACGCCATTTGATCTTCGCAATGACTCTTTGAGGTGGCCGGTGCAGGGATCATGACCTCATTGCACAGATGAGACAACTGGAGCTCAGAGAAGGCAACCGTCTACTCAAGGTCACACAGCTTGAGTATGGCAGAGTGGCAGAGCCAAGTTCACTTCTTGTTCTTTTTTTTTAAGATGGAGTCCGGCTCTGTTGCCCAGGCTAGAGTGTAGTGGCATGGTCTTGGCTCACTGCAACCTCCGCCTCCCGGGTTCAAGCGATTTCCTGCTAATTTTTGTATTTTTAGTAGAGAAGGGGTTTCACCATGTTGGCTAGGCTGGTCTTGAACCCCTCACCTCAAGTGATCCACCCGCCTCGGCCTCTCAAAGTGCTAGGATTACAGGCGTGAGCCACCACACCTGATCTCAAGTCTTCTGAGATGAAGATTAAACAGCACCTTCCACAGGGTCAGACCGGACGAGACAAGACCAGGCTTTGACCACGTGGTTGGGTTGTTCCCTGGGTGCTTCATATCTCCCAAAAACTCCTTGATAGAAATAATCCACAATGCTGTTTCAAACCCTTTTTGCCTCTGTTTATGCTCTGAGCCTGTACCACCTCTAGGGGCGAAGAAACTTCTCCTTTCTCCGTGGCGTCAAACGGACTTTTCCTTGTATTTGTCCTAAAGGGACCTCAGCAGCCCCTCCCCGTTGGGTCCGTCAAAGCACTCTGCCAGAAGGTCTGTGTGTTCTTCAGTGTGGGCACATGATGGCGCTGCTCCACAACGCATGAAAAATCAGGCCCAACCCACCCCTCACCCCCCGCCCCCCGGACTGCATTTCAACGCATCAAAGATCAATTAAACACCTACTATGTGCAAGTGACTGTGATTGCTCCGGGGAGGGCTTCAGTTATTCAATACTGTTATGTTTAGCTATATTAATAATAGCCGTAATAACATCGGTACAGGGCTTCATAGTTTATCGAGCAATTTACGTGGATTATCTGGTTCTATCTGCCAAGCAGTCCTGATGCGTTAGATCGGGTGGGTCTTTCTGTCCCACTTGAGGAGGAAACTGAGGCACGGAGGGTGACAGAACTTATGTAAAGGCACGGGGGAGAGAGGCACATGGTAGGCATTTGATGAATTATAGGTGGTGGATGGAATGAGGCAGACCCAGGCATCTATCTCCTCCAGGTTGTTATTCATCAGTGAGGGCCGGGATTGTATCTTATTTGTCTTTCCATCCCCACTCCTAGCACGGCTTCTGATTGAGGGCTTCCACAGACCTCTGTGGCAGGGAGAGGAGAGGCAGGGGGATTCCCTGTAGGCTGCAATGCCGAACAGCTCCTGGAAGGCTCTCTGAGGGTGTGCAGGCTGAGAGAGGTGGCTTCTGGGCTGGAGACTGCAAAGAGAGGAGGTCACTGCCTTCACCGTGTAGCATTTGCAGGACATGAATGACTCACCGTAATTCAGCTCCTGAAGGCACCAAGTAGCTGAGTGGTCAGGATGATTCATTCATTCATTCAACAAACGTTTTCTGAGTGCCTGTTACATGCTAAGCATTAAGAATGCAGGTATGCAAACACAGCCTCTGTCCCCCTGGAGCTTCCAGAGCAGTGGAGGAGATGGAGGGCAAAGAGCTAGCAATGCGGTTTGGTTTGAGTTGCCCAGAAGTCTGTACTGAGTGCCACGGGGTAACCAAGTCTAGTGGCACAGTGTGAAGGCTACAAGAGGGGGAGATGTTTTGCAGGATTTGAAGGATGAAATGAATTTGCAGATAACCAGACAAAGAAAGGTGCATGAGGACTGGGGGAAGGAAAGCATCAGGGGCAGTGGGGTATGTACGGGCAGGAGCTGTCAAAGGGCGTCAGTCATGTGTTTGAGGATGGGTAACAGATGCAGTAGGAAAGACAGTGGTACCAGCAGGGAGGGCCTTGAAAGCTATTCTGAGGACTGTGAATTGCATCTTGTATTTGTCAGGGAATCACCATGCTGGGAGCTCTGCTAGGAGCTCAGAGTTCCATGGAGAAGGTGGGCAAAGAGAGGCCCATCACTCATGTTTACTGAGCCTTGACTATTTCGTGGTGCTAAGCACTTCTTGGGCCTTGGTTTATTGTCTGTCTTATAAGGCAGGTACTGTGATCATCCCCATTTTATACACGAGTAAACTGAGACTTGGGATACTGACATAAGTTTTTCCCAAGGTCATAAAACTGGTACTAGTGGAGTCAGGACTTGTCTTTTTTGTTTTTTAATGGTCACCTTTACTAAAGCTGAAGTGTATGGGTTTTTCACGGATGGGGTACAAAATTCAAAAGGCTCAAAAAGTCCCAAGTGAGGTTGCTCTTCTTTTTTTTTTTTTTTGGGATGGATTCTCGCTCTGTTGCCCAGGCTGGAGTGTAGTGGGATGATCTTGGCTCACTGCAACCTCTGCCTCCTGGGTTCAAGCGATTCTCCTGTCTCAGCCTCCTGAGTAGCTGGGACTACAGGCACATGCCACCACGTCTGGCTAATTTTTTTGTATTTTTTAGCAGAGACAGGGTTTCACCATGTTGGTCAGGCTGGTCTTGAACTCCTGACCTCGTGATCTGCCCACCTTGGCCTCCCTCCCTCCCCAGAGGTGACTACTCTTACACTTTCTTGTGTTTTTTATTTTCTAGAGACTTTGCCTGTTTGTTTTGTGAGAGGTGTTTTATATAGACATAAGCACAAAAAGCAAGACAAGACAAGTGCCTGTTAACTACAAACATGGGCTTTGGGAAGAGCCAGTGTGGGTTTAGATCTTGACTTTTTCTGAGAGCCTGACAAGTGTCACCATTAAATGCTGGTTTGGACAAAGGGTGGGCGGGCTTGGAGGGTGGGATGAGGATGGCAGGGGGTAGGGACGTGGACATCAAGAGGTCTGTGTGCACAAGTGTGACTGTGTGGGCCTGGACTGGGGGTGAGGTGATCAGATGGGGACAGGAAATGGGGACTGCAGAGGCCTGGTGAGAGACAGAGCAGGGACGAGGCAGGGGAGAGCGGCTGCTGCGGGGCTGTCATAGCCGGCAGGCGTTTGGCAGGGCAGAAGGCACAGTAAGAGGAAGAGAGGCAGCCTGCGGGCTTGGCTTGGGACAGCCTCTCTAAGGCTCGTGCTGACTCTCGAGCAGTTCCAGCTCAGCAGGCCATGCACACGAACCAGGAAGCTGGGTGGACTGGGCTGGGAAGGAGGCCATGGGCTCAGGAGCCCGGGAGATCTGGTCCCAGTGCCCAGTGGGGATTCTGGGCAAGCCAATTCCTCTCCAGGCATCTGTGCGGGTCAGCGCCACACGGAAGCCCCTCGTCCCTGTTGATCTTCACTGTAGAGGGAGAGGCAGGGAAAGGCTTGGGAGATGCCGGGCTGGGATGGGCTAGGGGCTTGGAATGCCTGCCCAGAGGTTTTCAGGGCGGCATCTCAGCAAGTGTCCACAGTGTGCAGAGCTCTCCCAGGCAGGATGGGCACCTATACATGCATGCATATGTGTACTTTACATGTTATATGTAATACAATGTAATACATGTTATTTTGCTCGGTTCCCACTTCCCCTTTTAGAAGCCAGTTGATATATAATGAGTTGGTGTCCTCCCATTCTTTTTGATGCATTGAGGATCCTAAGTCTGTGCCCCAGTCCCCATAGTCTGTTCACTTCCTGGCTTCCTGGAAGAACAAAATGTCCCCGCCTCCTCTCGTTCTTTCCCTGCCCCACTCCTAGAATCAGCTGTTTTTCTAAGGAGCCCAGGTTTTCTTCCCTGAGAAATGCTATTTGGGTGGGGGAGAGGGAGGGAAGCAACAAGCTGTGGGGGAAGAGCCTCGATCTGGGCAACCCCTTTGCTCTTGTGACCTCGAGCAAGTCCCTCGGGGCATTAGGGGACCAGTTATGTCCTTTCTAGACTCACCTGAGGCCAAGAAGATGTGGGAAACATCCATCCTGTGTGCCTGCGGTCTGGAAAGGCACAGCCCCAGCTCTGCCCCTGTGTGGCTGTGTGATTCTGGGTTTCTTAACCTCTCTGAGCCTCAGAGTCCCCATCTGTGAGATAGGAATAACATGAGGCTTTTTTTTTTTTTTTTTTTTTTTTTTAAGACAGGGTCTTACTCTCTTGCCCAGGCTGAAGTGCAATGACATGATCATAGCTCATTGCAACCTTGAACTCCTGGGTTCAAGTGATCCTCCCGACTCAGCCTCTCAAAGTGCTAGGATTACAGGCATGAGCCACTGCATCTGGCACGTGGACATTTCTGACTTATCTCAACTAGGGAAGGTACTCAATAAATGCTAATTCCCTTCTTCCTCCCCTTAATTATTTGACTTCAGTACCCCAGGAAATGAGGACTGGGATATTGGATGGTTTGGGAGAGGAGGAAAGAGGTGTCCAGGGAAAAGGAAGAAATTGGGAAATAGAAGACCACGGACAAATAAAAGAGGAGGGGTTAATTCAGAATAGGGAAGACGGGCCAGGCGCAGGGGCTCACACCTGTAATCCCAGCACTTTGGGAAGCCGAGACAGGCGGATCACGAGGTCAGGAGTTCGAGACCAGCCTTGCCAATATGGTGAAACCCCGTCTCTACTAAAAATACAAAAATTACCTGGGCGTGGTGGCACTCAACTGTAGTCCCAGCTGCTCAGGAGGCTGAGGCAGAAGAATCGCTTGAACCTGGGAGGCGGAGGTTGCAGTGAGCTGAGATCGTGTCACTGCACTCCAGCCTGGGCAACAGAGCAAGACTCCATCTCAAAAATAAAAAAAAAGAAAAGAAAAGAATAGAGAAGATGATTTTAATCATCAGAGCTTTCCAATAAAGGCAGGCTCTGGCTGCTTGGGGGAGGTTGAGAGCCTCCTGTCATTAGAGGTATGCAAGTAGAGGCTGAGGGATTGTGAGCCACACAGATGTGTTTGTGAGGACTCGCAATGGCCAGGAGGTAGATTCCTTCACTCAGCAAACTTTGGGAGAGGGCTGTCCTTGCCTGGTCCTGTAATGGGGCAGGGAAGCCAAGGTGAATAGGACACCATCCCTGGCCCCAGGGAGCGCCCAGCCCAGGAAATAAGCAAATCGCTGAGATCCTTTTACTCTGCAGTTCTGTGCTTTGAAGCATCCAAGCCTTGGAGGGAGTTGGCTGGGGATTTTCAGTGTGCGCCTTTTGGTATTGATCCACTGAAGTTGGAGCTGGCTGGGGAATGGCAGGAGGACGCCGCAGTGTTATTAGTGCGGAGGACACGCTGTAATCTGTCAGTGTCACCCCGGTTGCAGCTGGCCAGGAACCATCCTGCTGTTAACGCCTCCCTTCCCAGCAGCCATGGAGCACACAACTTGTACAGCACCTGCCAGTGCCTCCACCTCTCCTTGTAGGAGGGAGAGTGTGGATATTTATTCTTTTTCTGCATCTCCCTAGCATGAGTCCTCGTCTCCAATCACACTAATTTATTCAGTGTTTTCCAACACACCTTGGGCATTCCTACCTCTGTACCTTCAGTTACCAGAATTCCCTACCAGCGGTGGTCACTCCTGTCCATTCATCCATCCACCTGTCCATCCATCCAATCATCCATCCATCCACCCACCTATCCATTCAATCATCCATCCATTCATCCGTCATCCATCCATCCCCCCATTCATCCATTCAATCATCCATCCATCCATTCATCCATCCACCCACCCACCTTCCATCCATTCAACTTTGCAATCCGCTTCAGTTCAATTCAATTCAATTCACCTTTATTCAACTCATAAGGTTACTGGGCTTTGCCATGTACCACACACATGTGATAAGTGAGGCATGCCTCTGCCCTCAAGGAGCCCATGGGAAGAATCCTCCCCATTCTCCATGGCCAGCTTTGCATCTCACCTCTGTTAATCCTTTGCCATGCCCTTCAGCAGAAGCAACGGACTCTGAAGGGCTGTCCTGTGAGGAGAGTTCAGTTCTGGCTTTCATGAATTGCAGAGGACAGAGCTCAGACAAGGAGAGAGGCAAAGGGTGGGGAGGAGGTGAGAGTGAGATGAGCTAGTGGGACGGGGATTTTGGCTTTGTGGAGGGAGCTGCTTCCAGTTAGCTGTGAGTACTCAGCAGTGTATTGGGGGATGAAGGGAAAGAGAAGGGGGCAAGGAAACCACTATTGGAGAAGTGGGTTAGTGTGGCGGTGAGGAGGTGAGCTCTGCAGCCAATGGACTACCTGGCTTATTGTCTCAGCTCCACCATATTCCTGCTGTGTGAACCTGGGCACATATCTTAACATCTCTGAGCCTCCATGTCCTCATTTGTAAAATGAGGATAATAAGACCTATCTCACAATGTTGCCTTTAGCATTAACACATGCAGTGCTTAAATTAATGCGTGGCACAAAGGGAGAGCTTAATAGATTCCAGCTTTGGTTGTGACTACTCCTATTACGTACCAGCTACTATGCCAGGAGCTTTCATTCCAGTGTGTCCTCTGAGCTAACCCTATGCGGGGATTATTGAACCCATTTTGCAGATGAGGAAATGAAGACCGACGGAAGCTATCTCTTGAGCTCGTCATGCAGCTGGCGAAGGGTGGAGCAGGGCTTCAAATGCAGACCTTTCCAACTCCATTGTCCCTGCTCTCCTGCGTGCCCTTTCCTGCCTTTTCTCAAGGGGTGAGTGCTCTGAGATGCAAAGATTGGAAGACTTCCATCCCAGCTTCTGCCTAGGGCACTCTTTTGGCCTTCTCTAGTTGTAGCCCTGAATTGTTAATTACTGTTTCATGTATGTTTTCTCTGCTCCCCAGAGACCATGAGATCAAGAAAAAAGATTTTCTTCTCCACGGCAACTGAAGTGTTGACTTTGACAGTGAAAGCTACAGAGTGTATGATGTTTCCCTTTTTGCCTTGCTTGCCAGGAAGCTTGTGCTTTTTGTCAAACTGCTTACTTCCCCTTTCCATGGTTTTGGTCTTCTACCTTTGACAGACTTTTATTCATAAGTCTTACTGTAAGCTGTTCTACTCATAGAATAAGCTGAATAAATAGAAATTGAATTGAATGGAAAAGGATGGGTTACAAATTACAAGTAAATAATTCATTTTATATTTAATTTAATTTATTTATTTACTTTTGAGATGGAATACTGCTGTCACCCAGGCTGGAGTGCAATGTCGTGATCTCACTGCAACCTGCGCCTCCTGAGTTTAAGTGATTCTCCCGCCTCAGCCTCCCAAGTAGCTGGGATTACAGGTGCCCATGCCTGGCTAATTTTTGTATTTTTAGTAGAGATGGGGTTTCACCATGTTGGCCAGGCTGGTCTCGAACTCCTGACCTCAGGTGATCCATCCGCCTTGGCCTCCCGAGTGCTGGGATTACAGATGTGAGCCACTGTGCCCGGCCTGCAAGTAAATAATTCAAATAAAATCACGAGCTTCAGGAAAGAAAAATGCCTTTCTTATATCGGGCCATTGCCACAGTGTTTAGCCCTGAGCCCTGGTTCTGGCTGGGTGAAGTTTGCATGGAAAGCCCAGTGGTGATTTTCCCTGTTGTGTCTGGATCAGTGGCTCTCCTTGCACCTAGAATATAACTCAAAGGCCTTCCCTTTGGATTAGAGCAGCAGTCCCCGACCTTTTTGGCACCAGGGATCAGTTTCATGGAAGACAATTTTTCCACATACTGGGTGGGAAACTGTTTCTCCTCACATCATCAGGCATTAGTTAGAGTCTCATAAGGAACAGGCAACCTAGATCTCTCTCATGCACAGTTCACAGTAGGACTCATCCTCCTGTGAGTATCTAATGCTGCCGCTGATGTGACAGGAGGTGGAGCTCAGGTGGTAATTCTCCATCACCCGCTGCTCACCTCCTGCTGTGTGGCCCTGGTCCAAGGCCCAGGGATTGGGGACCCCGGGATTAGAGGACTGACCCCTGCCCACCTCTTCCACCTTATCCTGTGTAACTTGTCCCCTTGCTCACCCAGGATAACTACTGGAGTCATCTTTGAGATGTTCTCACAAGCCAGGTTCTTTCCCTGCTTCAGAAAAGAGGCTTTGTGGCTGGGCGTGGTGGCTCACACCTGTAATCCCAGCACTTTGGGAGGCCGAGGCAGGCGAACCACCTGAGGTCAGGAGTTCGAGACCAGCCTGACCAACATAGAGAAACCCGGTCTTTACTAAAAATACAAAATTAGCTGGGAGTAGTGGCACAAGCCTGTAATACCAGCTACTCGGGGAGGCTGAGGCAGGAGAATCACTTGAACCCGGGAGGCAGAGGTGGTGGTGAGCTGAGATCATGCCATTGCTCTCCAGCCTGGGCAACAAGAGCAAAAACTACGTCTCAAAAAAAAAAAAAAAAAAGAAAAAGAGGCTTTGCATGTGCCGTTCCCTCTGCCTGGAGCCCTCTGCTCTCTCCCATCCCCTGCTTCTGCCTGGCTCATCATTCCTACGCTTCAAATTTCTGCTGAAAGTCAGCATCTTAGGGAGGCCTCCCCTGACTGCTCTGTTTAAAGGGGTTGTGGTAGCTGGTCTGCAAAGACAACTCCCAGTGCTTCCTGGCCTCTCCTGTGTATGCTGCTGTTCCCATCAAGAAACAGACTCTATTTCTCCTCCTCCTGGAAGTGGGCCGGGCGTTGGGCCTGGCTTTGGCCAATGGAATGTGGCAGAGGTAATTTACTGAGGCTTCCGAGGTGAGGCCTTCAGATGACTGGCAGCTTCTCCTTCCTGCCACCTGGAACCCAGCTGGTATGCTGTGGGAAGCCCATATCACATAGAGAGACACAGCGGGAGAAATGGGGTGTTCAGCTCAACAGCCCAGTTGAACCCCCAGCCAACAGTCAGCATGGATTCCAGCCATGTGCGTGAGCCAGCCTGGGTGCTGCAGCCCAGGTGAGCCCCTGAATGACTGCAGGCCCAGCTAACATCATACGGAACAGAAGAACCACCCAACTGAGCCCACAGAACTGTGGGAGATAATAAAATGGTATTGCTGTTTTAAGCCACTGAATTTCCAGTCATCTAAAGAGAGGTTAATCCCTGATAAATTTCTCTCTTTCTCTCTCTCTCTCTTTTTTTTTTTTTTTAGAGAGACAAGTTCTCACTACGTTGCCCAGACTGGAGTGCAGTGACTGTTCACAAGTGCAATCATAGTGCACTGCAGCCTCGAACTCCTAGTCTCAAGCATCCCTCCTGCCTCAGCCTCCTGGGTAGCTGATATTCTAAAAATCATTGCCCCAATGCACTTACTTCATAGCATTCACAATAATCTATAATTATATAATTATTTGATTCTTAACTTGCTAATTTTCCCTTTTTTCTTTTTCTTTTTCTTTTCTTTTCTTTTTTTTTTTTTTTGAGACAGTCTCGCTCTGTTGCCCAGGCTGGAGTGCAGTGGCATGGTCTTGGCTCACTGCAATCTCCACCTCTTGCATTCAAGCAATTTTCCTGCCTCAGCCTCCCGAGTAGCTGGGATTACAGGCATGCGCCATCATGCCCGGCTAATTTTTTGTATTTTTAGTAGAGATGGGGTTTCACCACGTTGGCCAGGCTGGTTTCAAACTCCTGACTTCATGATACATCTGCCTCAGCCTCCCAAAGTACTGGAATTACAGGCGTGAGCCACCGCACCTGGCCAATTTTCCCTTTCTTCCTATAGCACATGAGTTACAGAAGGCTGGGACCATGTTTGTCTTGATTGCAGCTATCCCCAGCATTAAGCACAGTGAATGGCATGTGGTGGGAGCTGAAAGAATGAAAGAATGAATGAATGAATGAATGAATGAATGCAAGGCATCGGAGTGGTCTTGAAGTGTTCCTAAGAGCCAGTGTAAGTCTCTGTGGCTGCAGCCCAGGCTGATATAGCACCAGAAAGGAGATGGGTATGGCCTAAGTCTCAGTTCTCTGGGGCTTTCACGACTCAGAACTGTACAACACTCCCTGACACCACCTCTATAACCCAGATCTCCACACCCCTGCCAGGAAGAATCACCCTTTTCCTTCTCCTTGCCCTTCTGTATCCTGCACAGCTCTCCATTAGGGGACCCGACAGGTCTCCGCGCATGCTCGTGTGTATAGATGATGGAAGCAGGACAGAATAATGGGTATGAATGAGGGCTCTGGATCCAGAGACCCCCACCTTTGAACCCCAGTCCACCACATTCTAAGGATATCTTGGTGCCATGGCTACAGATATTGAGTGTTCACTCACATAGGAAGTGCTGTGTAAGTGTGAGCTTACATTACAATTGCCATGTGCCAGGCACTACTCTCACGTCTTGAATTCATTTACTTCATACAACCTTATAAGGTGGTTGCTATTATCATTCCCCTCTTACAGATGAGGCAACTGACGTGTGGATAATTTGCCCAAAGTTGCGGATCTGAACCCTGCCAATGTGGCTACAGAGCCCACCTTCTTCTTTTTTTTTTTTGAGACGGGGTCTCTCTCTGTTGCCCAGGTTGGAGCGCAGTGATGCAATCATGGCTCACTGCAGCCTTGAACTCCTGGGCTCAAGTGACTCTTCCATCTCATCCTCCCAAGTAGCTAGGACTGAAGGCGTGCACCACCATGCCCAGCTAATTTTTGTATTTTTTGTAGAGACAGGGTTTCACCATGTTGCCCAGCCTGGTCTCAAACTCCTGAGCTGGCGTGATCCACCCAGCTTGGCCTCCTAAAGTTCTGGGACTACAGCCGTGAGCCACCGTGCCTGGTCCAGAGCCCACCTTCTTAACCCTCATACTGCCTCTCTCGTTCTCAAGGTAGAACCCTCGTTCTGCCTCCCTGAGCCTCAGTTTTCATACCTATAAATGGGATAATAATGCCTGTTTAATAGGGCTATGATACCATGATCTGGCAGTGCCTGACACATTGTAGAATCTCAATAAATCCCAATTTGCTGTGGCAAGATAGATGAACAGACTTCCAAACCAAGGAGGGCTTTGAAGCTTTACTGTGAGGGTGCTAGAGAACCACTGAAAGTTTTCGAGTAAGACAATGACATAGTGAAGCTGTGGCTTAGCTCCAGTCCTACCTTTTCCCGCCTCTGTCCCCCCAACAATTAGCTCTATGCTGCCTGAGGTTGGTATCTGAGTTTCACATCCCTGTCTTACCTCCCCGTGAGGTGCTGAGATTTGAACTGTTTCAGGATCGTGATAGTTCATCCCGGGCCTGGAATGAATGGGGTGGGAGGGATGTTCTTGATCTTGTGGGACTCATCTCAAAGGGCTGCCTCAGAGATCCCATCTGGGGCCCCATTTCTGTCTCCACCTCCAGCCCTACTGACTGACAGAGGTGCCTGGGTTTCATATGACTGACTTCGTATTCCCCTTGGAATCCCTTCTGCAGCATAGTGGATGAGGTGAGACAGAGGCTGGTAACTCGGTGGAAGAGAGAGGAGGGAGAAAAAACAAGGGAGCCAGAACAGGAGAGAGTGGGAGACAGGGGGACAGAGAGAGAGAGTGGTGGAGAGAGGGCGAGCCAGAGTGAGGGAAAGATGGGCTCACTGCTTCAGGGCGGGGTGCACCTGGTGACAGAAATGGGCCACCTGACCTTGTGCTGTGTTCCCTTGTTCTGACAGATATGGTGAGGCCATCTGACCTTGTGCTGTGTTCCCTTGTTCTGATGGATGTTGTGAGTCTGTGTGGGTGCACAAGCATGCACATGTGGTCTGTGTGTCCACATAGATGCGAGCGTCTGTGACATAGCATGCACCCTGTCTGCTGGCCTGTGCATGGAAGTGCACAGATGGGTCTCCAAGGACCTAGGGACTAAGCATGTGGAGAACCATGTGCAGTGCCTATGTACGTCCTCAGCCCCAGCGTCACCTCCTCCATGTGCCTCACCCCCTATTCGTTCACCCTCCTCCCCCTGTGGTGGCATTATCACCTTTCTTGGTCAGTCTCTGCTTACCTGTCCCTGTCTCTGCCTCTATTGAGAGCTTCCTGCAGGAAAGTCCACATCCTTGTCATCCCTGTACTCTTGGCAGCAAGATCAAGGCTTGCTGGGGCAGGTGATCAATAAAGGCTGATGACTGATTGAGTATATTTGTGTGAATGGATCTACTTCCAGAAGCGTGTGTGGGTGTGTATGTGTGTGTGTGCACGCACATGTGCACACATGGAAACATGTATGTGGCCATACACAAATGCACATGCACTGTGGGGTGTGGATGTGTCTCTGAGATGTCCATGAATGAGCCTCTGGGCACACACCATGCCCACAGATTGATGCAGTGATATGCTGGCAAATGTTTAACAACCGGCTCTTCATTGAAAAAAAGAATGCTGTTGGGCCGGGCGAAGTGGCTCACCCTGTAATCCCAGCACTTTGGGAGTCTAAGGTGGGCGGATCATGAGGTCAAGAGATCGAGACCATCCTGGCCAACATGGTGAAACCCCATCTCTACTAAAAATACAAAAATTAGCTGGGTGTGGTGGCGCACACCTGTGGTCCCAGCTACTTGGGAGGCTGAGGCGGGAGAATCACTTGAACCTGGGAGGCGGAGGTAGCAGTGAGCCAAGATCTCATCACTGCACTCCAGCTTGGTGACAGAGTGAGACTCTGTCTCAAAAAAAAAAAAAAAAGAAAAGAAAAGAAAAGGAAAAATAAGCCCTGATTAGCAGCATTTGCCCATTGCTGTAGTGTAAATGTTCCCACCATGGCCGACTTCAAGTTGCTGCTGTGGCGTCATGGAATATGGAGTTAGCTGGGAAGAGATGCACATAACTGGCTCACATGAGCCCACAGGAGTTGGCTTCAGTACACGGAAGTATTCATGTCTGTGACTGCCCAGCCCATGATGGGCAGGGGAGGCAGTGCAAAGTTCCCCTGGTGATGGTAATGCTTCTTTCCAGAGCTGTGCCCTGGGGGAGCAGGCAGTTGCTGGCTGCCAGCCAGCTTTCACCAAGCGGCCTTAGAAGTCAGTCTAAACCAATACTCCTTGTTAGGCAGGTCTAGGCGCTCACCAACACAGCAGCACCTTCCCTCACTCCCTGCAGAGGCTTTGAAGTTTTTGGATTTGGTGAAGTCAGCATGACTGCAAGGAGGAATTGCTAAGCCTGAAGCATGAATGGAAGAGGGGGAAGGAGGAACGCTTCAAACCTCCATCTGAGGCAGGTGGCCAGGGATGCTGGAAGGTCTGGAGGCCCTGGGCCTTGTGCCTGCTTGAAGCCGATTCACTGTGTAAGCCTGGACACATCGCTTGCCCTTGCTGGCCTCCACCTGTGACTTCCGTGAAGGGAGAGGTCTTCTGAGCTCCGTGGCCTCTACCTGACCCTCTGGGAGTTGGTCCTTAAACTGCGCTCTGAGTGTTAAAATCTACATTCAAAAGGCAGAGAGAGGCTGTGTTGGCCTTAAACAAGAGCAAGAGGGGACCCTGCCCTGGCCCTCCTCAGACCAGGCCCTTTCCCACATGGTGAGGAATTCACAGGCCAAGGCGATGTGCTCACCCCAAGCCCTACCCTTTGCTAGACACTCGTCTGATGCCTGCTGCTGTAGAATTTCTGCTCCAAGAGTCCTGCCGTGCTGGCTTCCAGGGCTGGCTGCCATCTGTCCTCCTGAGGACCCATGTCCTCCTGCCTTAAGCAGTGGTTTTGGGAAAGCTGGGTGTGCAGGCTGGGATGTGTGCCCACTTTGTGGGAGATGCCCTGAACGTGCTGAGTGGAGCTGGAAGTGGGAAAGGAGGAGGGGTGGGTCATGGGCAGGGAGCTGTGGTCTTGGGTTCCAGGGTGGGCTTGCCCCATGCTGCTACTTTGAGGAGCAGAATGCAGAGGAGGTTGAGAATTCTAAATTCAAACCTAACATTTTAGTTTGTCACAAGGACATATTTGCCAGGACAGAGGATAGACCATATTTTTAAATTTTATTTTATATTTTATTTTAATTTTTTTTGAGATAGAGTCTCGCTCTGTCACCCAGGCTGGAGTGCAGTGGCGCGATCTCGGCTCACTGTAACCTCTGCCTCCCGGGTTCAAGCAATTCTCTGCCTCAGTCTACCGAGTAGCTGGGATTGCAGGCGCCCACCACCACGCTCGGCTAATTTTTGTGTTTTTAGTAGAGACGGGATTTCATCATCTCGGCCAGGCCGGTCTTGAACTCCTGACCTCATGATCCACCTTCCTCGGCCTCCCAAAGTGCTGGGATTACAGGGGTGAGCCACCTCGCCTGGCTGATAGACCATTTTTTAAGGTCGTTAGTTCGATGTGCAGCTGTTAAATCTTCAGACTTAAGTTATGGAGAGTGAGCCTCCCTTTCTACTCTTGCCCTGGACCCCACAAGTGTTAGGGGTGAGCCTGGAGAGAGAGATAATTGAGATTGGTGGGGGCTTGGTGGTGTGGCCCCAGCAGACTGAGGCTGAGTTGAACAGGGAGTTTTGAACATTGGACCCTTCTAGAGTAGACTTTTCCGGGCCACGTCATACAGGGCTTACCTTCTCTTAGGTCTGTGCGGTGTGTAGGTGTCATCTGCTTGCCATCTCCTTTCTCTGGAGCCCCAGGAGAGCTGTACAGTGAGTATGCTTCCCCAACACATCTTAGATAGCACTGTTATCTTAGACAGCTGTTTTGGGGCATGACAGGTCATCCTTCCAATGGGGCCTTTCTCTGATGTCAAAGGTCAAATCCTCCTGTTAGCATTCCATCTTGTCTTTCTCATCTCTTCAAGTTAAGAGAGTCCCAGGGACCCTCCCCATTCTTCTGCCACTCCATGGCTCTCCTCTTCCTGAGAAGCACCCCTCTGCAGGGAGCCCCCTGAGTAAACTGGTAGGGTCATGTCCATTCCAAACTGCACAATTTCACGGGGGAAAATGGAAACCCTGGAGTGTAACTGGGATGTTGAGTGGGGCTGCTTTATTCTAAAAGATAAAACTCAAGGACGTCATGCTCTCTGTCTTCAAATATCTGAGGGGCTGTCATGCTGAAAAGGGAAGGGATTTATTCAGTGTTGTTGGAGTGTGAAGGAAGAGGTGGATTAAAATTCAGTGTGCAGAGAAGACTTTTGCCAAAGAGTGCTGCTTAGCACTGGCTGGTGCTATCTTTGGAGGGGGTGAGCCCGCTGTCACTGGAGGCGTGCAAGTATCCCTAAAGGATATTTAATAGGGAACTCATGATCTAGAGAGTGGGGGGACACCCTACTGTACAGCATCTAAACCTCTCATCCCCAATAATCTGTAGCTTTAGGATTGTTTTAAATAGGATGCCAGGAGTTGGGAAAGGAATTAAAGAAATTCACTGAAGTGAGGACCAAGCTATAAAAAAAAAAAATCTTTATTTCATGTACCAGGATTTTTTTTTTCAGTTTTCTGCTTTTTAAAATTTTTTTTCTGTTAACAGTCTGAAAAAAAAAAAAAGGACTCACCAAGAAAATAAATGGAGGTTAGTTTCTTGAACTGGTCTGAGCTGGACATGAGCAATCATCCACACCCCTGGGCAGCAACGCCCTTGCAGTTCCGGTCCTGGCTCCTTCCCTCCGGACCCCCTAGCCCCTTCTCAGCCATGGCGATGTCACCCCACACCCCAGTGGCTTTCTTCAAGCACACCCAGAACCCAGGCCTTGCGCCATGGAAAGAAGCACTGATCGCCTTCCCAGACGCTCTGCCAGAATTCGGAGAACTGGAGCTAGTTTTTCTCTTCAGACAGTGCTCGCTTGGGTGCGGTTTTCTTGGGGACCCTCCCTTCTCCCTTCGCTCTCATCCTTGATCCCTTTAGGTCTGGAATCTGGTGGGATGGCGGGCAAGATTGGGGTGGGAGAGGGGTAGAGTTCAGTTTCTGCCCAGACTGAGGGCAACTTGGTTGTTGTTACCACACCTTGAATTGTCTCCCATTGTTCTGCCCCAGGGCCCATGACCTCCCCCTGTACTTCTGGGCTGGGCTGGCCGATGTTCTGCCCCTTGCTGACCTGGGAAAATAACTTTCCTTTCCCAGGCAAAAGACAGGAAAGGCAGGTGAGATGTGCAAGCTCAAAAAGCCTTACTAGCCATTCTCTAGAACTCCCCAGAGAGCTCAACCTCAGGAAATGCCGGTGTCAAGAAAAATGCAAACCGGGGGAGACTCGCAGGCAGAGGCAGGGGGGCCTCACCTTGACCTTCAGTCACCTGGGAGTAACTTGCAGACTGTTCTGAAATTTCCAGCTCAGGAAAGCTGTTGGATTTCTGTCAGTCTGAACTGGCCCTTGTCACTCTGGGGAAGAAAGGGGAGAAACACAGGATGCCCTTGACCTTTAGTCTGTGGTGCAAGTTTAACTTTTGGGGTTGGTCCTTACACTGGGATGGAACTGCTAAAATTTTCCTCTCCATTCCCTCAGCCTTGAGCCCTCCCAGTAAACCTCAGAGGATCCTCTTTTTCACAGACCCCCAAAGACACTGGGGAAGCCCTGGTGGCAGAGCTCTTCTCCCAAGGAAGCCTCTTTAACTCTCCATGATCGCAGCAAGGGGACACAAAGTGAAGAAGGGCTTTGGGGACCCCTGCGTCTTTCCCCTCTTTGCCTGAACAGCTTTATGTTTGCTCACATGTGTGTATTTTTGCTTTGACATTGGATGTGGGGGCAGGTGTTCGGGGAGCACAGTGAGGAGGTATATGGTGTGTGTGTGTGTGTGTGTCTGAGAGGCTGACTGATGATGAGCCTGGGGGCTTGGTGGCAGCTGTCCTGGTCATCCCTGGCATATCCTCGGGGCAGGTGGCAGATCTTAAGTCACAGATACATAGAGCAAGAATGGGCCTTTAGTGCTTCTCTGGGTCAATCCACATGCTTACATGGGGGGAAAATTAAGGCCCAGAGAGGCCATGCAGCAAGGAATTCCGGAATCCAGTCCTGGATTCTAGACGGGTGCCCTTCCCATGCATGCGAGTGGTGTGTGTGTGTGTGTGGGTATGTGTGCGTGTGTGGGTATGTGTGCATGTGTGTGTTCATGTGTATGCTCTGTTGGGAGGTTGTGAATGAACACAAAGGCCAGTGTGGAGTTGTTGTCGTCCATGGCTTTGGAGGGCATGAGTCAATTTCCTTTGAGCCACGCCCCTGGCCGTGTATGGGATGGAAGGGTTGAGACTGAGTGTGTCCCTGTGAGTGACTGCAGTGCTGGGCTAAGTGGACTGTGTATGTGTGTGTGAACGTGCCTGTGTGCGTGTGGGGTGTGTGGTCTCTTTCTTTGTTGGATTCTGTCTTCCCCCATTCGCAGCACCTTCCTTGTCTGAGGAAGCCACCTTTCCATCACAGAGACCCCCTGCAGCTCACTGGGACCTTCCGCTACTCCCTCCAACCTTCAAGCCCAGCTCTCACCTCTCACAACGGTTTTGCTTTGTTTTTGTAAATGGATTTGTATATTCGTTTTCTGTTTTTTTTTTCTTTACAAGTTCCCTGCTAAAGTTTAAGTCCCCCACCCCGCCCCATTTTTTGTTTTCACAGTTTAAAGCTGGAAAAGAATTAAAAGAAAAATACTATCTGATTTTCTTGCAAGTAAATCCACTTATTTTGTATTTACATTTATTTATAGTCTGTGGTTTTTTTATTAAAAAAAAATCACCACTTGTTTTTCCTTTTTCTTTTGTAAAAAGAAGCCTTTTTGCAGTGTCATTGTTGAACCCGCTGGGCCCCAAGGGGGCATCAGTGAGTCCAAGGACCCCCAAAGGGTCAATGAACCCCCTTCCCAGGGGACTGGGGGGCTTATGAGTCAGGGGGTCCACCATCGCCCCAGGGTCATCAGGTGGCCCTGAGGTGAGGGGTGAGGAGGGAGAGCTGTTTCATGTCCCCCGGGGGGGGGGGTGGCATCTCCTGACCCCAAGGACAGGAGCTTGGGGACATGACCCCAAGAGGCTCACCCTGAGGATTCCGGGGTTTCCGGCATCTTGGTAAGCCACCGGCAGCCTCCCCTCTCCTTCCCTTTCCTCAAGGCCTAGGAAGTCATCACAGTGGGTTAAGGAGCATTAAGGACTGGGAACCTGGGGCCAGGCAAGCCCCAAGTGTACCCCCCTCCAGGCACCCTAACGGAGAGGAGGGACAAGGGCTCGGTCACCTGGAGGCCTACGATTGCCCCATCAATGCTGGGCGGAGCCGGCTCGAGCTCTGAGCCTTCCTGGAGTTCCTGGGGCACCCACCCAGGGGCTCCAGGGACCTGGCAGTGACTGCAGGCTCACCTGGCCCCAGGGCCCCTGAGTCTCGCCCCCCAATCTCCCAGGGAGGCAGGGCCCGCTGGGGGTTAAAGGGAACAGAAAAGTAACTCTCCCCGAGTTAAAAAAAAAAAAAAAAAGTAACATAAACCCTGAAAAATACAAAGGACATCCCCTTTCCTTTCTGTTCTCATTTTTTTTTTTTTTGCTTTAATGTTATCTTGGTTCCCTTTTATTTTTTCATTTAAATTGATTTTTATTAAATGTTAAAATAATGGTACATGGGAAATCATGCATTTTCTTTTAGATTTATTTTCTATTTTTAATTTTTTATCCCTCTCGCTTTTTTTTAAAGTTTGTTTTCTTCCCTCGTTTATATTTTCCCACATTTCCTGTTGTTTTGCTTCTTTGTTCCTCTTATATTTTGTTCTTTTTTTTAAAATTTACTTGTTATGTTTTTTCTCTTTTTTTGTGTGTGTGTGTTTTTTTGTTTTTTGTTTTTTTGTTTTTTTTGTTTTTTGTTTTTGCTTTTGGAAGGTCTCCCAGCGGAGGGTCTGGGTCTCCCCGCCCCGCCCCGCCCCCGGGGACCGCGCCCTCCTCCCGCGGTCTTCTGGCGAGGCCCGCGGTCTTTATACGGGGGTGGTCCGGCGGTTGGCTGTGTTGGAGTGGAGAGAGTCCTTGTTCTCCTTCTGGATACAGTTGTGAACCTGGAGGAAGCTGTTATCCCTGTCGGAGTTGTAGGTGGCGGTGGGCGTGGTGGCGGCCTTCAGGGGGTCCCTGCTGAGCGTGTACATGGAGATCTCCGTGGACGGCAGGGTGTTGAAGCCCTTGATGCCCACGGGGGAGGCGTCCCTGGAGTGTGAGGGCTCCGTGGAGCGCGAGCTGGAGCGGCTGCGGCGCTGGTAGCGGTAGCGGTAGCTGGGGATGCGGGTGATGGCAGAGGCCTGGAGGTAGTCCGTGGCGCGGGCCGTGGCCCGCAGCTGTTTGTGCCGGTCGATAAACATGTGCACCGCCAGCACCCCGACCATCTCGGCGATGATGAAGGACAGGGCCCCGAAGTAGAAGGACCAGCCGTATGAGTAACTATTCTTTTTGGAGTCGCTCTTGGAGGGGTCTCCGGCATTGGCAGATATGTACACTATGATGCCAATGATGTTACTCAGACCTGCGGGGCGCAGGGTGGCGGGGTGGGGGATCAGAGAGAAGGACGTTAGTTTCTCAGGAAGTCGGCCACAGGGCAGCCGTAAAGGACGGGGACAGCTGTGTGGGCCTTCCCCGGTCCCGCGCCTTCATGAACAGGTGGGGCGGTGTAGATGGACATCCGCAAGCTTCCCCTTAACATTTTATCTTTCCATTCAGAGAGAGCCACAAGGGAAGCGCTAATGGAAACAGACATGGGCAGGGCGGGAGAAGGGAGGCATTTCACAAGGCGCTGAGTAACTAATAATAGATATTGTTCATTGAGCCTTCTCTACCTGCTTTCACTGCTTGGTGCTTCTCAAGCAGGGCACAGATGAGGAAACAAGCACAGAGAGGTTAAGGAACTTGCTTAAGGCTGCACAGGGCTTCAAAGCTGGTGTAGCAGCGGGTGAAGGCGGGCTGATGGAGCCAGGCTGGCCTGCGTTCAAAGCCTTCGCAAGTTAACCTTGGTTTGAGTTTCCAGATCTGTAGAATGGGAGTAAGGTTAAGCCTTACTCTTTAGGGCCACGGAGAGGGTTAAATGGGTGAATACATGTGAGTACTCTTAGATGTTGGTGGTTCCTTTTTTTTTTTTTAAGATACAGTCTTGCTCTGTCACCCAGGCTGGAGTGCAGTGGTGTGATCACAGCTCACTGCAGTCTCAAACTCCTGGGATCAAGCGATCCTCCCACCTTAGCCTCTCTAGTAGCTGGGATTATGTATGCGTCACCATGCCCAGCTGATTAAAATAAAAAAATTTCTGTAGAGACGCGGTCTTGAGGCCTCGCTGTGTTGCCCAGGCTGGTCTCGGACTCCTGAGCTCAAGTGATCCTCCTGTCTCAGCCTCCCAAAGTGCTGGGATTGCAGGCGTGAGCCACTGCACCCGGCCTGATGTTGGTCATTCTTATTAAATGGCTCAGGCTACACCCAGGTTCTTTTTCTGGCATCTGAAGTGAGTGTGACTCATCTGTCATGTAACTGGGCTCAGACATCTGGATGTGGGTGCCTGCCTGCTCCCACCTGAGTAGAACAGTGAGGGGAGAGTCCACCCTTGGTTTCCAAGGTGAAGCTGAGTATCCCATAGGGGTTGGAACAGCGAGGCACTTGGGTGCCCTCTCTCCAGCCTCCTCATGGGTTTACTTGCACCGGGAAGGGAAAGGGTAAGTGGCAATTGGCCAAGTACCCTGAGAGGAAGCGGGCATTTGGGCCTTTTCTCAAGTGGTGGGAAGAAGATGGGGTGTGGGGATGCTCCTGGAGGATTTGGTACAGGCTCGGGAGTTGCTACAGGACAGGAGCCCCCCCACCACCTTCCTCCCCTGCAACACGACCTAGTGCAAGTCTTGGAGATTTCCTCTCCTCTCTCCCCATCTCTCTCTGCCAGGCCCTCGTGGCCCCTGAGCACCCACACCCCAGCCTTCTTCCCAGTGGCAGGACTGGATCAGTGGCTGTTACCTGCAGACACGAAGAAGATGCCGGCACTCAGGATGATGTTGTGTCGAGTTTTGTAGAACTCGCTGGCTGCGATGCAGAGGCCACCCATGAAAAGCAGAATCACACTCAGGATTGGGAAAATGCTGGAGGCCCTCACGGCCCCTGTGGAACACAGAGGGTCAGGGAGAAAGAGAACGGCATGGCTGTGAGACTGAGGCACACAGAGGCAGGTGGGAGAGCAGCCCCGAGGCGCTGGGGGTTTATGGACACAGCCTTAGAGGAGAGGTTGCTTTGCAATCCTAGGGAGGGAGAGACAGCGAGCAGGCCACTGCCCAGCTCACAGCCCTGCAGGAGCTCCCCACTGCCTCCAGGGCCAAACTCCAGCACACCGTCAGGCACACAGGGCCCTGTGTGACTTGGCCTCTGCCCACTTCCAGCTCCCACGGCTCCCAGTCCTCATGTTCTCTCTCGTCCCACCACATCAAACTTCCCACGACATGTCATTTCATGCTGCTGACTTTTGAAATACAGAGCTTCCTACTGGAATGTCTTTCCTATTCTTCACTCAGCAAACTCTTCTTCATCCTTCAAAACCCAGCTCGAAGTCCCCTCTTCTGTAAAGCCTTCCCTGACTTCCTTAGGCAAAGTTATGAGCTCCCTCGTCTGCACTTTGGGGCCCTTGGGCACGCTGAGAGGCAGTGTGGTATAGTGGTTAGGTGGAACCACGTGGGTTGGATTTGAGTCTGGCTGCAGCATTTATTAGCTGTGCAATAGAAAAAGTATCTCACCTCTGTGTGCCTCAGTTTCCTCATCTGTAAAGCAGGGATGGTAATAATGCCAAGCTCCTAAGATTGTTGTGAGGATTAAATGAGTTGATTCAGGCAATGCACTTAGATAAGTTTCTGGTGTCTATAATAAACATTCAATGCATGATATTATAATAAATATTTGTGTATACATATGCTTCCACCATGAACCATGGGTCGTGAGACAAGGACTGTGGCTTTACAAAGAAAAAGTTTCTTGTCTTTATCCTCTCTGTTCAACGACACAGTAGTCTGCCAATAGAAGCTCATTAAGTGAATAAATGTGGGGTCGTGGTCCAGAAGGAAGGAACAGGCACATTGCAAAGAAAACAAAGTAAGAAGAGAAACCCCTCTAGATAAGGACTGACAAACAGGACCGGAGAAGAAAAGAATATGGTAATGAAAAGGGAGAAACAGAAGGTGAGGGCCAGGGCTCCTACAGTTGGGGGTGGATGGGGGAAAAGGGGGACAGGTGGCTAAGGGCAGAGGTCGGGGCTACATGTGTTTGTGGGGGGAGCAGCACCTGAATGAGGACCCAGAGGTGTTGGGGAGCCCTTCACAAAGTGTCTTTGCGAAGTAAAACATTTTTTTTTTAATCCAAATTCAAATAGGCAGTGAGTGACCTCAGGACCCAGCTCCGTGTCCTGGGAGCCATGGGCTAGGCAGGAGGCAGAGCTGGCTTGAGGCAGGGGTGAGGGAAAATATGTCTTCTTTATTATTATTATTTTTTGAGACGGAGTCTTCCCCTGTCACCCAGGCTGGAGTGCAGTGGTGCAATCTCGGCTCACTGCAACTTCTGCCTCCTGGGTTCAAGTGATTCTCCTGCCTCAGCCTCCCAAGTAGCTGGGACTACAGGCGTGTACCACCATGCTTGGCTAATTTTTGTACTTTTAGTAGAGATGGGGTTTCACTATGTTGGCCAGGCTGGTCTCAAACTCTTGACCTCATGATCTGCCCACCTTGGCCTCCCAAAGTGCTGGGATTACAGGCTTGAGCCACCGTGCCTGGCCAAAGATGTCTTCTTTAAATGGTGCTTAAGTGGTTTCTAAGGAAGTTGAGTCCTGATAATTACAGGACCCTTTGGCCAAGCCCAGGGATTGGTCAGGGAGGTTGGTTTTGGAGGGGAATGTGCCAGGAGCGGAGCTTCCTCTTATCCCCATCCCCGTCCCCACCCTTTTGGGTGGGAGTGTGTTCAAGAAGGATCTGTGAGAAGAGAATTTCTCTATATAGAACTGTAGGGATTTTTCTTTTTCTTTTTTAAAATTTATTTTTATTTTTATTTTTTGAGATGGAGTCTTGCTCTGTTGCCCAGGCTGGAGTGTAGTGGTGTGATCTCGGCTCACTGCAGCCTCCACCTCCCAGGTTCAAGCGATTCTCCTGCCTCAGCCTCCCAAGTAGGTGGGACTACAGGTGTGCGCCATCACACCTGGCTAGTTTTTGTATTTTTAGTAGAGACGGGGTTTCGCTATGTTGGCCAGGCTGGTCTTGAACTCCTGACCTCAAGTGATCTGCCCGCCTCGGCCTCCCAAAGTGCTGGGATTACAGGCGTTAAAAGGGGATTTTAGGCAGTTTGCTGAGATGTGTGTGATGTGAAAACTCTTCTTCTGTCCTCACCATGGATCTGCAGCATAGTCTACACTGCTCACAAATGGGTGAGTGGGTTATTTGGGGGGGACCTGAAGAAGGGCAGGGCTCTTGGGGCAAAACTGAGCTGCATATAGGGAAGCAGGGGTGGGAGGATGGGGGCTTGGGGTGGCTGGGCTACTCTGCAGCCTCAGCACCCTCCTTCTCTTGGGCGGGATGGGGCTGCTCCTCCACAGACCCCAGGGAGGTGTTCTCTCCTTGCAAATCATTGCTAAGACAACACGCTGTATCCCTAACCTGATCCCCCAGCCCAAACACACCCACATCCACACCCACGCGTGACAGACATGCATGACTAAAAAGCCACCTTAACTCTCATCTTTATAAGCACATGAGGATGGTGAGAGCTTACTGAAAACCCAGGAGAAGAGAGAGAATATTTGTTAAACACCCATTCGGTGTTGGGTCTTGAGCAGGTACCTAACATATATGATATAATTTCATCCTCATAACAGTCCGGCAGGGTGTGTTTTTTTGCCCCAATTTACAGACAAGAAAATTGAGGTTCAGAGAGAGAAACTCCCCTGCCACCCAGCTAGTGAACCAGGATTCATATCCAGACCAGCTCAACTTTTGGAGCACCCTGTAGTCTCCCTATGTGGCTTCCAAGGAGCCCAGGAAGGGTGAGTGCCACAGGGCCTGGAGAACTGGGTTTGGGTCCCACCTGTGCCACTCACTTGCTGTGTGGCTAAGGCGGGTGCTCACTTCCTCTGTTTTTCCCCTGTGTAACATGGGGTATGGCCTGTTAGATGGTTTCTTTTTGTTTGTTTGTTTTAGATACAGAGTCTTGCTCTATACCCCAGGCTGGAGTGCAGTGGCGTGATCTTGACTCACTGCAACCTCCGTCTTCGGGGTTCAAGCAATTCTCCTGCCTCAGCCTCCCAAGTAGCTGGGATTATAGGCGCCCGCCACCATGTCCGGCTAATTTTTGTATTTTTAGTAGAGATGGGTTTTCGCCATGTTGGCCAGGCTGGTCTCAAACTCATGACCTCAGGTGATCCACCGGCCTCGGCCTTCCAAAGTGCTGGGATTACAGGCCTGAGCCACCGCGCCCGGCCGTTAGATAGTTTCTAATAGCTCTGCCCTTTCCATGTGGACATGGTCCTGGCCAGCCACAAAGGGGAATGACAGAAGAGAGAAGGAAAGAAAGAAAGAGGTCGGTGTGGCTTCCGAGGCGCAGCAGCAGCAGCTCAGAGGAACAGGCAGAAGAAAGGCTCTGGCCTTCCCCCTCCAAGAAAGTGGGGTCTTACTACCCACAGGATGCCTGCAGGTCGCCGACCCAATTGTGCCCTCACAGCAAATGGACTCACAGCAGCCCAGGGCTTGATTTTTCCAGTTGAGCCCCATCTGCTGTGGGAACCCGGATGCCCCAGCTCAGCCCTCCTGCCAGCAGGGGGAGGGAGCGTCGGCTGCGGAGGGAGCTGGGATGCATGCGTGTGGGCAGCCAGAGGCCAGGCATGTGTGGACAAGATGGAGGGCGGCGGGAGAGCAGGGAGGGGTCTGCTGTGTTGCAGCCAGCAAAGAGCAATGTGGAGGAATCAGAACGGCTTCAGAAGCCACCAAGGCAGCGTATGACATGCTCTAAATAATGACCACCAGCGGGGAATACAAACAGAAGCCTCTTCGGCACAGAAGAGCCAGCCCCAAGCTCTGGCCTTTCGTGGAAGAGGCCTCTTTGCCCAGAAAGAAGGCAACAGGCCGGGCGCGGTGGCTCACGCCTGTAATCCCAGCACTTTGGGAGGCAGAGGTGGGTGGATCACCTGAGGTCAGGAGTTCGAGACCAGCCTGGCTAACATGGTGAAACCCCGTCTCTACTGAAAAAAACACAAAAATTAGCCGGGCATGGTGGTGCGTGTCAGTAGTCTCAGCTACTGGGGGTGCTGAGGCAGGAAGATAGCTTCAACTTGGGAGGCGGAGGTTGCAGTGAGCTGAGATCGCGCCACTGCACCCCAGCCTGGGCAACAGAGCAAGACTCCATCTCAAAAAAAAAAAAAAAAAAAAAGGCAACAGTGGGCAACCAGCAAATAGCACCATGCTTAGGCCACTAGACTTGGCAGGGCCCAGATCCAGGTGGGAAGGAAGCTGGTTTAGGAGCAAGCAGGGACTTCTACATTGGAGACGTTTCTTGAAGGAGGTATTTCTGGCTGGGTAGTGTCACAAACGGAATGGGGATTTTGGAGTTAGTCACACTTGACTTTGAATCCTCGCTTTGTCAGTTATCAACAGTGTGACCCTTGGGCAAGGGTCATTACTGCTCTGAGCCTCAGTTTCCCCATCCTGTGAAATGGGAATAGTAAAAATAATATTTAGCTTATAGGAATGTTGTAAGGCCTTGCTGCTGCAAGTGTGGCCTGAGGCCCAGCGGCATTGGCATCTGATTAGAAAGGCAGCCCTGCCAGGCATGGTGGCTCATGCCTGTAATCCCAGCACTTTGGGATGCTGAGGTGAGCGGATCACATGAAGTCAGGAGTTCGAGACCAACCTGGCCAGCATGGCGAAACCTTGCTTCTACTAAAAATACAAAAATTAGCCGGGCGTGACGGTAAGTGCCTGTAATCTCAGCTACTTGGGAGGCTGAGGCAGGAGAACCGCTTGAACCCGGGAGGCAGAGGTTGCAGTAAACTGAGATTTCGCCACTGCACTCTAGCCTGGGTGACGGAGCGAGGTTCCATCTCAGAAAAAAAGAAAAAAGAAATGCCGCCCCTCAGCTCTTTCCCCCAACTGAGTCATAATCTCCATTTTAATGAGATCCCCAGAGCAAGATTTGCATGCATATGAAAGTTTGAGAAGTGCTGTTATAAGAATTAAATTGGGGCTGGGCTCGGTGGCTCACACCTGTAATCCCAGCACTTTGGGAGGCCGAGGCTGGTGGATCACTTGAGGTCAGGAGTTCAAGACCAGCCTAGCCAATATGATGAAACCTCGTCTCTACCAAAAATAAAAAAATTAGCTGGGCATGGTGGTGCACACCCATAGCCCCAGCTACTTGGGGGGCTGAGGCAGGAGAATCGCTTGAACGCGGGAGGCAGAGGTTGCAGTGAGCCAGGATCTCACCACTGCACTCCAGCCTGGGCGTCACAGCAAGATTCTGTCTCAAAAACAAAAAAAAAAAAAAAAAGAATTAAATTGGGTCCTACCTTTTACTGTGTCTCACACTAGAAGTTGCACAGTAAAAGGTAGCAATTTTTATTTCTGAGGTCCCTCTTCCCAAAACATCAGTCCAGGCATAACTTCCCTATAAATTGTCCTCACTTCCTACAAAGCCAAGCATGGTCTTGTTGCCAAAATCTATCACAAGAGTCAGGAAATATCTGATTTATTTAATGAACAAATATTTACTGGTCTCCTATGAGTAAGCATATGGCACTTCACATTACCTGACAACATTTATGGAGCCCCTCCCCTGTACCAGGCCTTGTTCTAAGAGCGGTGTAAACCTCATACCAGCCCCATGAAGCCATGGGCTTTGGCTTCAAGGAGATTACACACGCCTAAAGCTGACACTGGCAAACTTGTTCTGTGAAGGGAAAGACAGCAAATATTTTCATCTTTGCTGGCCATATGGTCTCAGTTGCAATTTCTTAACTTTGCAGTTGTAGCACATAAACAGCCATAAACAATATGTAAACAAATGAACGTGGTTGTCTTCCAATAAAACTTTATTTACAAAATCACTTTGGGAGGCCGAGGGGGCTGGATCACTTGAGGTCAGGAGTTCGAGACCAGCATGGCCAATATGGCGAAACCCCATCTCTACTAAAAATACAAAAATTAGCCCGGCGTGGTGGCGCATGCCTGTAGTCCCAGCTACTCGGGAGCCCGAGGCAGGAGAATCGTTTGAACCCAGGAGGCAGAAGTTGCAGTGAGCTGAGATCAAGCCACTGCACTCTAGCCTGGGCAGTGGGTGACAGAGTGAGTGAGACTCCATCTCAAAAAAAAAAAAAAAATCAGGTGGTGGGCTGGATGGGCTGGATTTGGCCTGCTAGTCATACTTGGCCAGCTGTGGCCAAGAGTATACTCTATACTGGGGAAAAGGCCACGTGGTCCAGAGCAGGGAGATGCTTTGCTCTAGGCTAGCTGTGAATCCAGTGAGCAAATATGGACTGAGTGCCCACCGCTGTGCTAGACCTGGGCTTGGCATGAGAGACATGAGGGGTCCAAAACAGGCCTGGTTCATGTCTTTCTAGAGCTTATACTCTCATGAAGGACATGTATGCCATCAGATAATCACACAGCCTGGATAACGTGCTATGAAAGAAAAGTACCTATATGGCACCATGAGGGTATGTGACAGGCTAATGTCACATGTAGACAACTAATGTCCATAGAGAGCTTAGAGTATGCCGAGGACTGTTTTGAGCACTGCACATACACAAACTCGTTAGTTCTCATTACAACTCTGTGAAGTAAGTACTTCATATTATTTTTATTTTTTAAATTTATTTTAGTTCTACTTATTGCATTATCTTAAGCAGCATATAATAGTATGGCCTCTGAAATGTGATAGACCTGGATTCAAATCCAATGCTTTTGTTTTTTACTTTTTAATTATTATTATTATTTTTTTGAGACAGAGTCTTGCTCTGTCACCCAGGCTGGAGAGCAGTGGCGTGATCTCGGCTCACTGTAACCTCTGCCTCCTGGGTTTGAGTGATTCTTGTGTCTCAGCCTCCCAAGTAGCTTAGATTACAGGCCATGTGCCATCACACCTGGCTAATTTTTGTATTTTTAGTAGAGACGGGGTTTCACCATGTTGGCCAGCCTGGTCTCGAACTTCTGGCCTCAAATGATATGCCTGCCTCAGCCTCCCAAAGTGCCGGGAGTGCAGGCGTGAGCCACCACACATGGCCTATATAGGTATTTTAATTATCCCCACTCTACAGAGACCAAACTGAAGCAAGGAGAGGTTAAGCCATTTGTTCAAGATTTGTGAATCCAGGCAGTCTGACTCTAGGGTCTGTGTGTCTAACCACTGCATTCCCTTCTTTTCAGGCTCTACACTTTGCTGCCCTTCAAAGCATCCTCTGAGCTTATGTGGGGATCAGGACAGGTCTCCCTGAGGAAGTGGTGGTAGAGCTGACCTCTGGCGAATAAGGAGCAGCTGATTAGGCACAATGAAGGCAGGGCTGTGGGAGAGAGAGCAGCAGGAGCCGAAGGTGGAGGAGGCATGGCTCCTTCAGAGACCTGGAAGAAGGCTGGATCACGAGGAGCCAGTGGAAGAGTGTGGGGAGCACTGAAGGGAGGAGCCAGTGGAGGAGTGTGGGGAGCACCTAAGGAGAGGAGGCAGGCGGGTCTGGGCCACGTGGGGCCTCATGAGTTGAGCTAAAGAGCTTAGCTTTATCCCAAGAGCAATGGGAAACTTTAAAGGGCTTAGAACAGGCAGGGCTGTCATGATCTGATTTGCATCTTAAGAAGCAAACGGATTACGAAGGGGTCAAGGGTGGCTCCAGGGAAGCAGTGAGAAGGCTACTGCAGCTGATCGGAGAGGAGTGATGCCGGTGCTTGGGCCAGGGTAGGTACAAAGGGCATGGACAGAGGCAGATGTGTCTGAGAGATGTTTAGGAGGTGAATTGAAGCTTGATGGATGGATATGGGTAGTGAAGAGGGTGGCGTTGAGGTTAACTTCTAGGTTTCAGACTTGCCAGCTGGGTGGAAAAAACCACTTAGGGGGACTGGGAGAGGACCCAGCCTAGCAGTGAGTAGAGAGTAGGGGAGGAGCCTGGGCGAGGTGGCTCACGCCTGTAATCCCAGCACTTTGGAAGGCTGAGGCCGGTGGATCACCTGAGGTCAGGAGTTCGAAACCAGCCTGGCCAACATGGTGAAACCCCATCTCTACTAAAAAAATACAAAATTAGCCAGGGGTGGTGGCGCATCCCTGTAAACCCAGCTACTTGGGAAGCTGAGGCAGGAGAATTGCTTGAACCTGGGAGGTGGAGGTTGCCGTGCACCAAAATTGTGCCATTGCACTCCAGCCTGGGCAACAAGAGCGGAACTCTGTCTCAACAAAACAAAACAAAACCAAAACAAAACAAAACAAACAAAAAAAGAGACTAGAGGAGGAAGATCAAAGGTTTGGTTTTGGACATGCTGAGTTTGAGATGCCTTGGGGATGTGCATGTAGAGTGTGGGTGGGGCAGTTGGGTGTGCAGATGTGGAGCACAGGGGTGCCATCTGGGTTGAAGCTATCTCACAGACACACAGAGAGCTTGCCTATGGATGAAGAGAGGCTTAGGCCTGAGGCTTGGGGAGCCCCAATGGTTAGTGACCATCTCAAGAAGACCTTGGGCAAATAATAGTGTTCCTTGGCCCCAATTTCCTTTTCTGTAAAATGGAAATGAAAATCCTAACTCCGTCTACCTTACTGGGTTACAGGGATTAAGCAGGAAGAGGAATGTGGACGCTTTAGAAAATGCAGGATGTCAGTGAACTATGAGCAATTTATTATTTTCTATGAGGGTGACAGAAATAAAGAGTATCCTAAGTGCCCAGGAGGCAAGCGACATCTTGCCTTCTGGAACGGGTGGCCTGAGCTATCTGTTCTTTGCAAATCTGCTTTTTGGCCAAACTCCCTAGACAAATCATCTTGTGATCTTGTGCCTCGGTGGGCCCCAGCCTCTCTGGCCATCACGCTGTGACATGGTGCTTCATGGTGGGCATAGCCAGAGGCCAGGCCAGACAGGGCACGCGGGGCCCCGAGGTTTTCTCACTGTGTCTGGCAGCGGAGGAGGGTGGGCTGGTGGTCAGTGGGGGTGGGGATGTGACGACGGGGGGAGGTCAGGAGACCTGGGCCTGCTGTGCACTCTTTGCCTAGCTCTCCACGGGACCTGAGCATGTGCTATTCCTTCTCTGGCCTCAGATCTGCACTCTGATGAGGTTGGAGTAGACGATCTCTAAGGCCCTGTCCCTCAATGATGGTCCCGTGCCCATCAAGACCTCTCCCCAGGGCCCATACAGCCAGGCCATGCTGCTGCCTTACCTGTTCCCTGTGCGAGTAATGACCTTGAATCAAAATAGTCACCGTAATCAGGTATGTAGCGGGCAGGTTCCTCATTTTCTGTGCCTAGTGTTATGCTCTTATCCCATCTGGGATTTGACTCATCATTAGGATGAATTAGGATCATTAGGATCAATCCGCATTAGGGGATACAGTCTACAGTCACAGACCTGCACAGACCTGCTGGGTTGCAAGGAGCTTTCTAGTCTCTTGGGCATCTCTTCCCATCTTCTCCTTCCACGCTGTGCTGGCTGGTGTAGCCAATGGCCGTGAGAAGGGATGCGTTTCAAAAAATGCCTGTGTGATGCATGTTTATAGCAGTACAATTTGCAAGTGCAAAATTGTGGAACCAACCCAAATACCTATCCATCAATGAGTGGATAAAGACTGTGGTATAAATATGATGGAATACTACTCAGCAATAAAAAGGAATGACTAATGGCATTTGCAGCAACCTGGGTGAGATCGGAGACTATTATTCTAAGTGAAGTAACTCAGGAATGGAAAACCAAACATTATATGTTCTCACTCATAAGTGGGAGCTAACCTACGAGGATGCAAAGGCATAAGAATGATAGAATGGACTCTGGGGATTCAGGGGGAAAGGGTGGGGAGAGGATGAGGTATAAAAGGCTACAAATTGGGTTCATTGTGTCCTGCTTGGATGATGGGTGCACCACAATCTCACAAATCACCACTGAAGAACTAACTCATGTAACCAAACACCACCTGTTCCCCAACAACCTCTGGAAATAAAAAATTAAAAAAAAAAACACTCCAAAATGCCTCTGTGTGTGCGTGTGTGTGTGTGTGTGTATGTGTGTGTGTGTGTGAGAGAGAGAGAGTCAGAAAGACCTCAAAGAAGAAAGAGGAGAACAAAGATGGTGGGTGAGAAATAGAAAGAGAAGTCAAACGCTATGGTTTGGAGCATGGGTTCCAGATGCAGCCCGCTTGGGGTCTCCTCCTGGACCCCCACTGGCTCTGTAGCCTCTGTGCCTTGCCTTTCCCATCTGTGTGATGGGGACACTGATCATCTCACCCTCATAGGGTGGTTGTGAAGATGAATTAAGATAATGTTTCAAGTGTCAGGCCTGGCACATCGTCAAGTGTTCAATGAACGTGTGCTATATATAATAGCACATGAAAAGCATTTTGAGAGCCCAGGGAGCTAACTTGGGGAGTACCATCTGTGCAGGATGCCGGATACATCCCTGCTTCCTGCTGTCAGTAGAGATTGGTGACCAGTCGCACAGGCTCAGGAGAAAGGCTGCCGGAGTCCATCTTCCTAGCTGTGACCTGGTCCCCCGGGGGCCTCTGCTGCCCCCTCTGCCATATGGAGATCACAAGCACACTTAGCTCACAGGGTGCTATGAGGAGTAACTGAGTACACACACTTGAAGCAATGAGAATAATGTCTGGTATGCGAGGAGCACCAGCAAATCGTGCTCATCATTCCAGCGGAGCAAATTGTTGCTGTCTCTCACCGGGCTTTGGGTTACTGAGGCTGCTATTTATTAAAGTGTGGGTTGTGACTCATTACTAGGTCATGAAATCGGTGTAGTGGTAGCAACCAGCCCTTAAAGAAATGAACCGGGGCCGGGCGCGGTGGTTCACACCTGTAATCCCAGCACTTTGGGAGGCCGAGGCGGGTGGATCACGAGGTCAAGAGATCGAGACCATCCTGGCCAACATGGTGAAACCCGGTCTCTACTAAAAATACAAAAATGAGCCAGGCGTGGTGGCGCAGGCCCGTAGTCCCACCTACTTGGGAGGCTGAGGCAGGAGACTCGCTTGAACCGGGGAGGCGGAGGTTGCAGTGAGCCGAGATCATGCCACCGCGCTCCAGTCTGGCGACAGAGTGAGACTCCGTCTTGGAAAAAAAAAAAAAAAAAAAAGAAATGAACTAGGACAGAATAGAAACTGCCGGCCAGTGTGCGTTCAGGAAGGCTGGGTGGCTTTTGGGGAACATTTTGCTCTGGTTCTGCAGATGTGAGTGAGTACAAGTGGCAGCTTAGATGTTTCCTAACCATGGGGTGGGGTCACAATAGTTTTAGCCGCACTGGTTGTGATGACTTCTGGAGGGGATGTCTCTCAGAAGCCCCCTCATGGCAATGTTTTCTAGAAGGGGCTGAGAGCCCTGGGCAGTGGACAGGTAGCAGGATAATGGACCTGGATAATGCTCCCAGGGTGCAGTCCCAGAAAGTGTGCCGGGCTGGGGCAGGTCATTTTCCCTCTTGGGCCTCCGTTTTTCCCTCATCTGTAAAATGGGAGGGTGGGGCTGGGTGATCCTAAGCTAGGATGATGGGCTGGGTGCGGTAGCTCACACCTGTCATCCCAGCACTTTGGGAGGCCAAGGCTGGCAGATCACTTGAGGTGAGGAGTTTGAGACCAACCTGGCCAACATGGTGAAACCCCGTCTCTACTAAAAAAAAATACAAAAAATTAGCTGGGTGTGATGGCGTGCACCTGTAATCCCAGCTACTGAGACAGAAGAATTGCTTGAACCCAGGAGGCGGAGGTTGCAGTGAGCCGAGATGGCACCACTGCACTCCAGCCTGGGTGACAGAGCGAGACTCAATCTCAAAAAAAAAAAAAAAGCCGGAATGATGGATCATTACACTTCTAAAACTCTAGGCGGGTGAAGCCTGGTGGACGCCCCTCATGCTGTTCCACTGGGGCTCTGGGGAGACCTAAAAAAGCACTGTTCACGGGAGGCTCAGAGAAGTTGTGTAACTTGCCAAAGGTCACAGAGTGGAGCACCCCTTGAATTCAGGCCCTTTTATTCTAAGTAACAACCTCGGGTTTTGACACCTGGTCTCCCCACACTTCCCTGGCTCATGTTCCCTGGTGGGACTGGTGGAGGTGGGGAGAGAGGGGCAATGGGAAGGAGGGACACTGTCTGAGGCCAGGAAGGGTGGCTCTGGCCCAGGTTGACACCCAATATCCTCCTCTGACCTCATTCTGGGAAGAGGGTGAACATGCCAGCTGCCCTAGGGCGGGCGGTACCTTGTTTATTCACTTAGCAAACCTCTCCTGGGTCTGATCCTGGGAAAGGCCCTGTGCTGGAGGGGGTGGATGGGTGGGAGGAGGACACTCTATTTGCAGCCACTCCTTGTGGTGTCCTCAAGCTGTTCACAGTCCGTGGGGAGAAGATTCCGTAACAGAAACCAAGATGAAACAGACCGGCAATAGAGTGGTCACCTCCCCGCACAGCAGCCTCGTCCTACATTCCCAGCCTCAGAGAAGGGCAGTAATGTTTGCCCCATCTGCCAGCCAGAACTCCTCGCCATCCACAAGACCTCTCTCTTACTTCTCCCATCCAGGCTGTCAGTAAAAGCTGCCAGCTCGACTGGGCATGATAGCTCACACCTGTAATCCCAGCACTTTGGGAAGCCGAGGTGGGTGGATCACCTGAGGTCAGGAGTTTGAGACCAGCCTGACCAACATGGTAAAAACCCGTCTCTACTAAATACAAAAAATTAGCTGGGCGTGGTGGCAGACACTTGTAATCCCAGCTACTTGGGAGGATGAGGCAGGAGAATCACTTGAACCCAGGAGGTGGAGGTTGCAGTGAGCTGAGATCATACCACTGCACTCCAGCCTGGGCAACAAAAGTGAAACTCTGTCTCAAAAAAAAAAAAAAAAAAAAAAAAAAGCTGCCGGCTGTCTTGTCAAATACATATAGGATCAAACCCCTTCTCAGCCACCTCTCCACTACCGGGCCCGAGCACCTGCCTTTTGAGCCTGGAGATAGCTGTGGTCTCCTAAGTGGTCTCCCTCTCCTGCAGAAGCTGGAGTGATACTGGTAGCCTGGACATCAGACCATGCCTGTCCCCTGCTCAGAACCCACCCGTGGTGGTCTCATCTCAGAGGAAAGCAGAGGCTCCCAAGTCCTGGTCCCCACCCCTTCTGCCACCTGCCTTCCCCTCGTCTGCTTATCACAGGGCGTCCTGGCTGTTATGAACCTGCCAGCTTCAGATGCTTTGCACTGGCGGTTCCCTCTGCCTGAATGCTCTTCCAGGATATATGCACCTCCCAAGCACTCCCTCACCTCCTTTAGGTCTCTGCTTCAATGTCACCTTTGCCACAAGGACTTTCTGACCACCCTGTTGCAAACTGAAGCCCTCCCCGGGCGCCCATCTCTCCTCCCTGTTTCCTCTTTGTTCTTTGCGCTCATCGCTATGCAATGGGACACAACAGTGAGCATGGATCGTGGCAATCGCTCTGCAATGGGATGCGACAGTGAACACGGATTGTGGCGAATGCCTGCTGAATGCTCACTGGGTTCGGGGCAGGTGCGAATTGCTGTCCGACTCTAACTCCCTTAATCCTCATGGCAATGCTAGGAAGATGACAATGAGCATCATCCCCATTGCAAGGAAACCGAGGCCCAGGGAGGTTCACCGGGAAGTGGCAGAGCTGGATTTGAAGCCCCGAGTGTGCCAAAGCCTGCCTCCCACTGGTGTCCAAGTTCTGTAAATTCACCCCCCAGACGGCCATCGTATGGGTCCTCCCTGCCTTGGCCGCCTTCTGCCTCCCTCCTTGGTTCCACTCCTGCTGTTGGCTTCCCCCAGGCTGCCTGTCATCGTCCTCAGGTGGTCAGTGAATCCCTGGGGAGGTGTCAAATTTAAGCGCAACTGGGTGTACCTCTCTTGTGTGTGTTGTGGGGAGCTGAGTGGGGGCATCTGCTTTGATGAGGGCCTGCCTCCCTTCCCCCTTCTCTCCACTTCTGGCTATGGAGTGTGGCCTGGTGATCCCCCCATTGAGGCCTGTGTGTGTGGCCTGTGTCACACCCCCTGGAGGGAGTACGTCAGAGACAGCAGCCAGCCCTGGGCCCCTCACCCACACCTCCAGCCCCAGGCTCTGAGTATGGAGTGGGGAGACCTGACCATACCCCGCAGTCCTGGACAATGAGTGGCCACAATAGAGTGGATTTTGGGGTCTGGCACACAGTAGGTGCTTAATACATGACTGTTGGAGGAAGCCAAATTCCTCTGATTCTTCTTCCCTTACTCCAAATCACAATAGGACAGCTAGGAAATGTCACCTCCCATCTCCTGGACACAACACGCACACATACACACACACAACACACAGGGACCCACATACACACAGACATGTGCAAACACACAAGCGCTTACACATTCAGACATAGACACTCAAACACACAGACATGCGGGTACCGAAAGACACAGAACACAGCACAGACTCATGCCCTCATGCACAAAGACAGATGCATGGATGCACGCTTGACATTCAAGAGAAGTCACACCCCGGTCACCACAGCCTCGTTCCTCACCACGCTCCTTAATCTTTGGTTAATGAGGGAAGAGGATATGGAGGCTGCCACAGCAGACACATTCGATGGGCCCACAGCGCTGGTTGGGAGAAACAGTCCAGTCACATTCATTACTGGGTAAGCCAGTTATAGGTGGGGCGAAATCCATATTGGTCATGGCTTTATGGAGGCCGGGGTAGTGATGAGGGACTCCTATAGCTGTTTCTCTATCAGTGTGGTTCAGGAGAGGCTGGGGGACTCCTCAGTTACTCATAGGCACTGGGGAGTAAGAGTGTCCATTCATTAATTCATTCATTCATTCGTCCATCAGATATTAATTGAGTGCCTTCCTTCTGCCAAGCCCTCCAAGAGGCTGGACAACATCTTAAGCTTGGCCTGCTGGCTTGAGCGCGGTGAGCCCCACCATCCTTTCCACCCCCGGAGATGAGCTCTGAACTGCTGTCCAGCCATGCTCTTCTGGCATTCTCTGTCCTCCCTCTCTGCTCTACATCCCCAGTCCAGCTGGTGTAGCAAGGATGGTGGGAGTTACCCCAGACACCTCATTGGCCACTCCTGCTCAGCCCCCTTTCCTGGAGTGTCCTCATCTCACTGGCCCCTAAGCCTTCGTGGTGTCCTGGAGCTTAGTGTCTGGGCTTCTCCCCTTCTCTCTCTGTGCCACTCCCTCGGTGAGTTCATTGAGTTTCATGGCTTTAAATATCACCTACGTGCCAACAACGTGAAAACTCACTATCTCTGGCCAGGACCTCTCCTGTGAACCCTGGCCTCAGGTCCATACCGAGCCCGTGACATTGTCCCAGGAAGTCCCACAGGCATCTCTAACTGAATATGTCTGATATTGAGCCCCAGTCTCAACCTGTTGTTCCCCCATGGGCACGGCCCCTTGGCACCATCCTTGCCTCCTTCCTTTGTCTCGAAATCCACATTCAGCCTTTCAGAAAATCCTGTGTGCGGTGCCCTGGAAATATTTTCAACATTGATCCTATTTCACCCCCTTCACTGCTACCACTCTGGTTCAAGCTGTCATCACCTCCTGCCTAAATTATAGCAACAGAGTTTTAACTCTTCTGTCGGCTTCTGCCCTGGTCCGATTTCAGTCCCTTATGAACACAACAGCCAGAGCCTGTTCAAAAGTGAGATGGTGTCTGTCAATCAGAGCAAACCCCCAAATTCTCGCTGCAACCCACAGGGTCCTTGAGGCTCTCCACACTTGCTCTTCCTTTGCTCTTCCTTGCTCACTCTCTTCTTGTCTCACGGGGCTCAGTCCTATTCCTCAGATATTCCAGGCATGCTCCCAACCCAGGACCTTTGCACTTGCTGTTTGCTCTTTCTTTCTTTCTTTTTTTTTTTTGAGACAGAGTTTTGCTCTTGTTGTCCAGGCTGGAGTGCAATGGCATGGTCTCAGCTCACTGCAACCTCCACCTCCTGGGTTCAAATGATTTTCCTGCCTCAGCCTCCTGAGTAGCTGGGAATACAGGCATGCACCACCACGCCTGGCTAAATTTTTTGGTATTTTTAGTAGAGACGGGGTTTCTCCATGTTGGTCAGGCTGGTCTCGAACTCCCAACCTCAGGTGATCTGCCCACCTTGGCCTCCCAAAGTGCTGAGATTACAGGCACCCGCCACCACGCCTGGCCACTGTTCATTCTTGATCCCATCCCTACTCTAGAATTCCCCATCCCCCGTCCCTGCTTGACTTTTTTCCCCATAGGGCTTATCTTAGTCTAACATGTTATATCATTCACCTGTTAGTTTCATTTTTTGCAGACTGCAAGTACCCTGAGGGCCATAACCTCAGTACCTCAAAGAGGGCCTGGCATACAGGGGGGCCCACTCCAGAAAGATCTGTGGAGTGTGTGAATTGCTCACACTTACAAGTGAAGGAAGACGCTACATCTGTTTCATGGACCTTGTGACTTCATAGGAAATTTAAGGGGCCCAAGCGTTGTGCGTTCCTGGTGGGGCTCAGGTTGGTCCAGTTCCTCATGCTGCAGAGGTCTTGGGTTTAGGAATACTCCGGAAGGCATGGATTGTGCCCCATCCAGCTCACACCTCTGCTTTTCCAGGAAGAATTAATTTAGGGCTGGACATGGTGGCTCACACCTATTCGCAGCACTTTGGGAGGCTGAGGTGGGCAGATCACCTGAGGTCAGGAATTCGAGACCAACCTGGTCAACATGGCAAAATCCCGTCTCTACTAAAAATACAAAAATTAGCCAGATGTGGTGGCGGGTGCCTGTAATCCCAGCTACTCAGGAGGCTGAGGCAGGAGAATTGCTTGAACCCAGGAGGCAGAGGTTGCAGTGAGCCAAGATTGTACCACTGCACTCCAGCCTGGGTGACAGAGCAAGATTCCGTCTCAAAAAAAAAAGAAAAAAAAAAAAGAATTAATTGAGGAGCTATTTGGGAACCTGGAAAACAAGCCCCAAGTCCCTTAGGAGATGCTCTACATGGGTTGGAATCTGCTTTTTGGGGAGAAAGAAGAGTTGCTTGACTGCTCCTTCCCTCTCCTTTCACTTCCGTCCCTATCCTGAAATCTGTTCCCTGCCCCATGGCCCATGCCCCATCAGTGGCCACCCCTGCTGCTGTCAGCTCTGTCTCCCAAACATCTCCTTCCTTCTCACCATCACCATGGCTACACTCTGGTTGCCCCCTCTCCCCCATCCTGGGCTCCCTGCCTCTGTTTCCAACCGTCACTACCACAGCAGCCAGGCTGATGTGTCTAAATCGGTCATTCCCATCACACTTAGAATGAGAGCTGAGGTCTCCCCCTGGTCCCAGGCCCACATGACTGGGTTCCTCTGCTGTCTCTGCTGTAGGACCCCACTCCACCCCTGCACTGGGCTCCTGCAAGACCAGCTACCCCTCTGATCCTCAAACATGATGCTCTGTGCCTGCTTTAAGGACTTTGCTCTTGCTATTCTCTCCATCAGCTACTCTCTTCCCCAGAAATCTTCTTACCTGGTTCCCTTTCTTTACTCAGGGAAACTTTGGGACCACCTTATCTAAGTGACATGCCCTCAGGACCCACTGGCCCCTCCCCCATCACTCTCCACTCTCCAACCCCTCCCAGACCACTCAGAAACTATCTCAGCTGGGGCCGGGCGTGGTGGCTCACGCCTGTAATCCCAGCACTTTGGCAGGCTGAGGCAGGCGGATCACCTGAGGCCAGGAATTTAAGACCAGCCAGGCTAACATGGTGAAACCCCATCTTTACTAAAAATACAAAAAAATTAGCCAGGCATGGTGGCGCATGCATGTAATCCCAGCTACTCGGGAGGCTGAGGCAGGAGAATCGCTTGAACCCGGGAAGCAGAGGTTTGGCATTACTTGCACTCCAGCCTGGATGAAAGAGCAAGATACAGCAACAACAACAACAACAAAACTATCTCAGGGTGCAGAGGGCAGGGACAGGGTGTTTCACACTTGTTTATTACTTGTTTCTTACACTAGGATGTAACCTTCACGAAGGCACTGGCCCTCTTTATTTGGTTCACTCTTGGATCCCCAGGACTGACAATAGTGCTGGCACTCAGTGAGTGCTTAGTAAATATCTCTCGAGTGAATGAATGAATGAATTGGCTCTGGTGCCACCTTCTCTAGGGAACTCTTATGGAAGGACCTCCTCTGGTCTGGGTTAGGGGACAGGTTCCCTCAGCACCACACGATTCCTTCTATTCCAGCATGCAGCATAAACATTAGGTCTGTAGGTCTCCCTCCAGATGGCTAGCCCTCAGGGAGAGGAGCTGCTTCTGCCCCCTCACAGCCTCCCCTGCGGCAGATGAGCGGTGCAGATGGGTTTGACAGACCTTAACTAGGAGTGGACTCAGGCCCTCTCCACCCCAGGTGCAGCTCAGCCCGCCTCCTTCAGCCTAAGCTCTGCCCACCTCTGGGAGCCACCTGCCTACTTCTGGCGAATGGGGGCCCAGCTGTTTTCCTCTGGAAGCCTGTTGCTTGCATTGATCTCGGGGCATTAGACCATGATTTACTTGAGTGTTCACATATTCACCCACCCAGTCACTTCATTGCTCAGTCATCAAAGTGCTTTTTTGGGTCAAATTCCCTGCCATGGCCTTTTCTGGGTGCTTGGGGTGCAGAAATGAATGGGACATAGCTCTGCCTTCAAGAAGCTCATAGTCTCTTGGGGATCCCGAGTGTGAACCAGTGACATTGCAGCAAAGTGTGGTCGGGGTTGAATTGTAGACACATGCAGGGTGCCAGGGAGGCCCCAGAGGAGCTTCTGAATCAGAAGCGGGGGTAGGGACTGGGGGCAGGGGATCCTTCTAGAAAAATCATCCCCGTCTTCCAGCTTCTCTCAAGATCTAGGTTAGAACTTCGTAGAGAATGATAGAAACTTGCGTCTTCCAGCTTTAAAGAATTATTTTTGTTTTCCGGCCCAGGACTAGCATTTTATAGACCAGGGGTCAGCAAACTATACCAAATGAAGCCTGCTGCCTGGTTGTGTAAATCAAGTTAAGTTTCACTGTAACACAGCCACACATATGCCTCCATATTGTCAGTGGCCACAAGAGCAGAGTTGGGTAAATGGGACAGAGATTGCATGGCCCACAAAGCCTAAAATATTCAACATCTGATTCTTTACAGAAAAAGTTTGCCGACCCCTGCTACAGGTGTTCAAAAAATATTGTTGGATTAAGTCAACTCAAATCAGACCTTCAGAATCCTGTCGTTGCCAATCTGAGTCCAAGTCTTTTGTCCAGGGACACCAAAATGAACCAAATACTCTATGCTCTATGCTCTTCTTTCTTAAAAACAAGGAAATGGAGGCATTGAGTTGTTAGGAATTGCTACTGAAGAATCCTCTATCTCTTCTTAACAAAAAGCATTCATTGAGCTGTTATAAGGGCAGCAATGAATGAGACAAGTTTTCTGCCCCCAGGCACTTACTGCCTAGCAGATAAAGCATGACATCATTCGAGCTCCACCTGGTGAGCCTTGTGCTCCGGGAATGTGGCTCCCAGTGTGGGGCTTGGCTTTGCCTGCTGGCTTCCCCCTTCTACATTCAGGCCTCACCTCTGCCATGCTGTGTCTCCCAAGTTGAGCTGTTTTTCCAAGGGCCCTCCCTGCCAGGCTGTGCTCTTCTTGGGGGCAGGCCCCATCCATCTTGGCCTCCCCAGCACGGAGCACAGGATCCAGCACACAGAAGGAGCTCAACCCACGTTTACCGCACAGCTGGGCTCCTGCAGCCCCACCCCAGACACAGTCGCAGGTAACAGGTAACCACAACCAAATGGCCTTTTAGGAATTCCAGTTAAGAGCAACGTCTTGAAGGAATTCATAAAAGGAAATGAAGAGCAGGGTATGATATTTTTTCCTTTAAAAAAAAGAATCTAAAAATTGCATCGTGTTCCCTCCCTCTTTCTTCCCAGCTGCCTGGCTGACTTTACATTCCACGGGCTTTTCAATGAAACCAGATTCCAGGCTGACCTGAGAGCTGGGCTTGATGTGAGAAGTAATTATTGAAAGAGACAGGGGCAATCTATATAATAAAATGCCTCCTACATGCTTCATAAAAGTGATCTGAGGGCAATGGCAGTCCTTGTGCTGTTGGGAAGGGGAGGTGGCAGGGCCTGGAGCAGAGGCGGGGTTGCTCCTGGGAGGAGAGCAAACCTCCTTCCAAAGAGATGGCCTGAGAACCTCGGCTTTGCTGTCCCAGGCCTCAAGGACTCTCAGCCCCTCTCTTGGAAATCCCTTTCTCAGGGAATAGGTAGCCTTGTTAGTTTTTGCTGATACTTGAGACATTTCCTTGGAGCCTCAGAATGCTTTCTCTTGATAATATGTCTCAGGTGGATTTAAGATTGCAGCTGTTACATCAGGATTTAACTTTGACTTACTTGACTTGCGGGGGAAGAAAAAATCTCTCTCTTTTTTTTTTTTTCATTAGAAGTTCCAATCTGGCACTGCCTGGTGGGTTACTTCATCCAATTATTCAAGAAATATTCACTGAGTGCTTATCACATGCCAAGCACTGGGCTGAGAATATAATGGTGAATGCTAGGGTGAGTCCATACCCTAGCAGAGTTGGGAGATGGTTACTCAAATAGCCAAGGACCCTACAGCATGATAAAGTACCGTCCTCTAGGAACTCATGCAGAAGGCAGGAAGGACTTCCTGGAGAAGGTGATGTTTTAGCTGAGACCTGGAGGTCGACTGAGTAGGAGTTTGCCAGACAAAGACGGGCAGGGAAGGGCATTGCAGGCAGAGGGAACAGCACATATGAAGGTCTGTACTCCGGAAAGGAGAGAGGCTTAGCTTTTTCCTGCCCTCTGCTGTGATGAGGGCCTCTAGGTAGGCCTGGTCCTTGACTCTGTGAAGGATGGAAGGGCAGGGCCCACCACCAGGAGGGAGATAAAAACAATCGTGTGCACTCACGGAGGAAATATTCTGCTGTGTCAGCTTCGTAATCTGCATCCTCTGGGAAGTGATCAATTTGCTTGCACAGACCTTTGAAATTCCCTGCAAAACAAGGGGAGAAGGAGCACATGAAACATCATAGTTTTGGGGGCGCTTAGGGCCCACCTGCCTCTTCCCAACTTCTGGCTCTTTGGAAACTCACTCAGCCCTCTCCCTCACCCCTGAAGGAAGGTTTCGCTTTGTCCGTTTGGACATCTGCCTGGTGAATCACAACACACACACCCGCAGTACTGCAGAGAGGATCTAAAGCCGACGACTTCAAAACGCTGCCTTCTGTCCCTGCACTGAAGCTTCTGAGGATTAGCGGAGGCTTGGCAGCAGTGGAGGTTTGATTCCGAGCTGGGGACTGCCACGCAGGAGGCCGATGAATGCTCCTCAGCCCGTCTCTGTGCCCCAGCATAGCTGGGAGTCATCCTGCATTTTACATGTGAGAAAGTAGCAGATCACTTTCTAAAGGGGACACACCCCGCACTGGTGCTGCCAGATGCTGCCACAGCCCTTTAGAAGAGCCTGCAAAACACTTTCCCATCTGCAATTCCGCACGGAATTCACCAAACCCAGCCGCCAACTGCTCTGAAATAAATATGGGGGTGGGGAGGAAGTTGAGCCCCCTGGGGGCTGGACTTTTGGGTTTTGAACTACAGCTCATTTTGGTTCCACCACAGGCCTGTGAGGGGGGTATTATCATCCTCATTGTATAGATGAGGAAACTGAGGCTCAGAAAGGCTGAACTATCTGAGCAAGTGCTTGTGGCTAGGAAATGACGGAATCAGGGCTGAAACTAGGATCTTTTGACTCTAAATGTTTCCTCGGTGCCTGCTGGGAAGGTGAGAACTGGCCTGGGG